>NC_000014.9:17540937-17699083 GCF_000001405.40 Homo sapiens
AGAATTCTCAGAAACTTGTTTGTGATGTGTGTCCTCAACTGACAGAGTTGTACCTTTCTATTGATAGAGTAGTTTTGAAACACTCTTTTTGTGGAATCTGCAAGTGAATATTTGGATAGCTTGGAGGATTTCGTTGGAAGCGGGAATTGAAATGAAAGGTAGACAGCAGCATTCTCAGAAATTACTTTCTGATGTCTGCATTCAACTCATAGAGTTGAAGATTCCCTTTCATAGAGCAGGTTTGAAACACTCTTTCTGTAGTATCTGGATGTGGACACTTGGAGCGCTTTGATACCTACGGTGAAAAAGTAAATATCTTCCCATAAAAACTAGACAGAAGGATTCTCAGAAACAAGTTTGTGATGTGTGTACTCAGCTAACAGAGTGGAACCTTTCTTTTTACAGAGCAGCTTTGAAACTCTATTGTTGTGGATTCTGCAAATTGATATTTAGATTGCTTTAACGATATCGTTGGAAAAGGGAATACCGTCATAGAAAATCTAGACAGAAGCATTCTCACAAACTTCTTTGTGATGTGTGTCCTCAACTAACAGAGTTGAACCTTTCTTTTGATGCAGCAATTTGGAAACACCCTTTTGGTAGAAACTGTAACTGGATATTTGGATAGCTCTAACGATTTCGTGGGAAACGGGAATATCATCATCTAAAATGTAGACAGAAGCACTATTAGAAACTACTTGGTGATATCTGCATTCAAGTCACAGAGTAGAACATTCCCTTACTTCGAGCACGTTTGAAACACTCTTTTGGAAGAATCTGGAAGTGGACATTTGGAGCGCTTTGATGCCTTTGGTGAAAAGGAAACGTCTTCCAATAAAAGCCAGACAGAAGCATTCTCAGAAACTTGTTGGTGATGTGTGTACTCAACTAAAAGAGTTGAACCTTTCTATTGATAGAGCAGTTTTGAAACACTCTTTTTGTGGATTCTGCAAGTGGATATTTGGATTGCTTTGAGGATTTCGTTGGAAGCGGGAATTCGTATAAACACTAGACAGCAGCATTCCCAGAATTTTCTTTCGGATATTTCCATTCAACTCATAGAGTTGAACATGGCCTTTCATAGAGCAGGTTTGAAACACTCTTTTTGTAGTTTGTGGAAGTGGACATTTCGATCGCCTTGACGCCTACGCTGAAAAAGGAAATATCTTCCCATAAAAAATAGACAGAAGCATTCTGAGAAACTTGTTGGTGATATGTGTCCTCAACTAACAGAGTTGAACTTTGCCATTGATACAGAGCAGTTTTGAAACACTCTTTTTGTGGAATCTGCAAGTGGATATTTGGATAGCTTGGAGGATTTCGTTGGAAGCGGGAATTCAAATAAAAGGTAGACAGCAGCATTCTCAGAAATTTCTTTCTGATGTCTGCATTCAACTCATAGAGTTGAAGATTCCCTTTCATAGAGCAGGTTTGAAACACTCTTTCTGGAGTATCTGGATGTGGACATTTGGAGCGCTTTGATTCCTACGGTGAAAAAGTAAATATCTTCCCATAAAAACGAGACAGAAGGATTCTCAGAATCAAGTTTGTGATGTGTGTACTCAGCTAACAGAGTGGAACCTCTCTTTTGATGCAGCAGTTTGGAAACACTCTTTTTGTAGAAACTGTAAGTGGATATTTAGATAGCTCTAATGATTTCGTTGGAAACGGGAATATCATCATCTAAAATCTAGACAGAAGCCCTCTCAGAAACTACTTTGTGATATCTGCATTCAAGTCAGAGAGTTGAACATTCGCTTTCTTAGAGCACGTTTGAAACACTCTTTTTGTAGTATCTGGAAGTGGACATTTGGAGCGCTTTGATGCCTTTGGTGAAAAAGGGAACGTCTTCCCATAAAAACTAGACAGAAGCATTCTCAGAAACTTGTTTGTGATGTGTCTACCCAGCTAAAGGAGTTGAACATTTCTATTGATAGAGCAGTTTTGAAACACTCTTTTTGTGGAAAATGCAGGTGGATATTTGGATAGCTTGGAGGATTTCGTTGGAAGCGGGAATTCAAATAAAAAGTAGACAGCAGCATTCTCAGAAATTTCTTTCTGATGTCTGCATTCAACTCATAGAGTTGAAGATTCCCTTTCATAGAGCAGGTTTGAAACACTCTTTCTGGAGTATCTGGATGTGGACAATTGGAGCGCTTTGATGCCTACGGTGGAAAAGTAAATATCTTCTGATAAAAACGAGACAGAAGGATTCTCAGAAACAAGTTTGTGATGTGTGTACTCAGCTAACAGAGTGGAACCTTTCTTTTTACAGAGCAGCTTTGAAACTCTATTTTTGTGGATTCTGCAAATTGATATTTAGATTGCTTTAACGATATCGTTGGAAAAGGGAATATCGTCATACAAACTCTAGACAGAAGCATTCTCACAAACTTCTTTGTGATGTGTGTCCTCAACTAACAGAGTTGAACCTTTCTTTTGATGCAGCAATTTGGAAACACCCTTTTGGTAGAAACTGTAACTGGATATTTGGATAGCTCTAACGATTTCCTTGGAAACGGGAATATCATCATCTAAAATCTAGACAGAAGCACTATTAGAAACTACTTGGTGATATCTGCATTCAAGTCACAGAGTTGAACATACCCTTACTTTGAGCACGTTTGAAACACTCTTTTGGAAGAATCTGGAAGTGGACATTTGGAGCGCTTTGATGCCTTTGGTGAAAAGGAAACGTCTTCCAATAAAAGCCAGACAGAAGCATTCTCAGAAACTTGTTTGTGATGTGTGTACTCAACTAAAAGAGTTGAACCTTTCTATTGATAGAGCAGTTTTGAAACACTCTTTTTGTGGATTCTGCAAGTGGATATTTGGATTGCTTTGAGGATTTCGTTGGAAGCGGGAATTCATATAAAAACTAGACAGCAGCATTCCCAGAAATTTCTTTCGGATATTTCCATTCAACTCATTGAGATGAACATCGCGTTTCATAGAGCAGGTTTGAAACACTCTTTTTGTAGTTTGTGGAAGTGGACATTTCGATCGCCTTGACGCCTACAGTGAAAAAGGAAATATCTTCCCATAAAAAATAGACAGAAGAACTCTCAGAAACTTGTTTGTGATGTGTATCCTCAACTGACAGAGTTGAACCTTGCCATTGATAGAGCAGTTTAGAAACACTGTTTTTGTGGAATCTGCAAGTGGATATTTGGATAGCCTGGAGGATTTTGTTGGAAGCGGGAATTCAAATGAAAGGTAGACAGCAGCATTCTCAGAAATTTCTTTCTGATGTCTGCATTCAACTCATAGAGTTGAAGATTCCCTTTCATAGAGCAGGTTTGAAACACTCTTTGTGGAGTATCTGGATGTGGACATATGGAGCGCTTTGATGCCTACGGTGAAAAGGTAAATATCTTCCCATAAAAACGAGACAGAAGGATTCTCAGAAACAAGTTTGTGATGTGCGTACTCAGCTAACAGAGTGGAACCTCTCTTCTGATGCAGCAGTTTGGAAACACTCTGTTTGTAGAAACTGTAAGTGGATATTTGGATAGCTCTAATGATTTCGTTGGAAACGGGAATATCATCATCTAAAATCTAGACAGAAGCAGTCTCAGAATCTACTTTGTGATATCTGCATTCCAGTCACAGAGTTGAAAACTCCCTTACTTAGAGCAGGTTTGAAACACTCTTTTTGTAGAATCTGGAAGTGGACATTTGGAGCGCTTTGATGCCTTTGGTGAAAAAGGAAATGTCTTCCCTTAAAAAGTAGACAGAAGCATTCTCAGAAACTTGTTTGTGATGTGTATACCTAGCTAAAGGAGTTGAACATTTCTATTGATAGAGCAGTTTTGAAACACTCTTTTTGTGGAAAATGCAGGTGGATATTTGGATAGGTTGGAAGATTTCGTTGGAAGCGGGAATTCAAATAAATGGTAGACAGCAGCATTCTCAGAAATTAGTTTCTGATGTCTGCATTCAACTCATAGAGTTGAAGATTCCCTTTCATAGAGCAGGTTTGAAACACTCTTTCTGGAATATCTGGATGTGGACATTTGGAGCGCTTTGATGCCTACGGTGAAAAAGTAAATATCTTCCCATAAAAACGAGACAGAAGGATACTCAGAAACAAGTTTGTGATGTGTGTACTCAGCTAACAGAGTGGAACCTTTCTTTTTACAGAGCAGCTTTGAAACTCTATTTTTGTGGATTCTGCAAATTGATATTTAGATTGCTTTAACGATATCGTTGGAAAAGGGAATATTGTCATACAAAATCTAGAGAGAAGCATTCTCACAAACTTCTTTGTGATGTGTGTCCTCAACTAACACAGTTGAACTTTTCTTTTGATGCAGCAGTTTGGAAACACTGTTTTTGTAGAAACTGTAAGTGGATATTTGGATAGCTCTAACGATTTCGTTGGAAACGGGAATATCATCATCTAAAATCTAGACAGAAGCACTATTAGAAACTACTTGGTGATATCTGCATTCAAGTCACAGAGTTGAACATTCCCTTACTTTGAACACGTTTGAAACACTCTTTTGGAAGAATCTGGAAGTGGACATTTGGAGCGCTTTGATGCCTTTGGTGAAAAGGAAACGTCTTCCAATAAAAGCCAGACAGAAGCATTCTCAGAAACTTGTTCGTGATGTGTGTACTCAACTAAAAGAGTTGAACCTTTCTATTGATAGAGCAGTTTTGAAACACTCTTTTTGTGGATTCTGCAAGTGGATATTTGGATTGCTTTGAGGATTTCGTTGGAAGCGGGAATTCGTATAAACACTAGACAGCAGCATTCCCAGAAATTTCTTTCGGATATTTCCATTCAACTCATAGAGATGAATATGGCCTTTCATAGAGCAGGTTTGAAACACTCTTTTTGTAGTTTGTGGAAGTGGACATTTCGATCGCCTTGACGCCTACGGTGAAAAAGGAAATATCTTCCCATAAAAAATAGACAGAAGAATTCTCAGAAACTTGTTTGTGATGTGTATCCTCAACTGACAGAGTTGAACCTTGCCATTGATAGAGCAGTTTAGAAACACACTTTTTGTGGAATCTGCAAGTGGATATTTGGATAGCCTGGAGGATTTCGTTGGAAGCGGGAATTCAAATGAAAGGTAGACAGCAGCATTCTCAGAAATTTCTTTGTGATGTTTGCATTCAACTCATAGAGTTGAACATTCCCTTTCATAGAGCAGGTTTGAAACACTCTTTCTGTACTATGTGGATGTGGACATTTGGAACGCTTTGATGCCTATGGTGAAAAAGTAAATATCTTCCCATAAAAGCTAGACAGAAGGATTCTCAGAAACAAGTTTGTGATGTGTGTACTCAGCTAACAGAGTGGAACCTCTCTTTTGATGCAGCAGTTTGGAAACACTCTTTTTGTAGAAACTGTAAGTGGATATTTGGATAGCTCTAATGATTTCGTTGGAAACGGGAATATCATCATCTAAAATCTAGACAGAAGCCCTCTCAGAAACTACTTTGTGATATCTGCATTCAAGTCACAGGGTTGATCATTCGCTTTCTTAGAGCACGTTTGAAACACTCTTTTTGTAGTGTATGGAAGTGGACATTTGGAGCGCTTTGATGCCTTTGGTGAAAAAGGGAACGTCTTCCCATAAAAACTAGACAGAAGCATTCTCAGAAACTTGTTTGTGATGTGTGTACCCAGCCAAAGGAGTTGAACACTTCTATTGATAGAGCAGTTTTGAAACACTCTTGTTGTGGAAAATGCAGGTGGATATTTGGATAGCTTGGAGGATTTCGTTGGAAGCGGGAATTCAAATAAAAGGTAGACAGCAGGATTCTGAGAAACAAGTTTGTGATGTGTGTACTCAGCTAACAGAGTGGAACCTCTCTTTTGATGCAGCAGTTTGGAAACACTCTTTTTGTAGAAACTGTAACTGGATATTTGGATAGCTCTAATGATTTCGTTGGAAACGGGAATATCATCATCTAAAATCTAGACAGAAGCCCTCTCAGAAACTACTTTTTGATATCTGCATTCAAGTCACAGAGTTGAACATTCGCTTTCTTAGAGCACGTTTGAAACACTCTTTTTGTAGTGTCTGGAAGTGGACATTTGGAGCGCTTTGATGCCTTTGGTGAAAAAGGGAATGTCTTCCCATAAAAACTAGACAGAAGCATTCTCAGAAACTTGTTTGTGATGTGTGTACCCAGCCAAAGGAGTTGAACATTTCTATTGATAGAGCAGTTTTGAAACACTCTTGTTGTGGAAAATGCAAGTGGATATTTGGATAGCTTCGAGGATTTCGTTGGAAGCGGGAATTCAAATAAAAGGTAGACAGCAGCATTCTCAGAAATTTCTTTCTGATGTCTGCATTCAACTCATAGAGTTGAAGATTCCCTTTCATAGAGCAAGTTTGAAACACTCTTTCTGGAGTATCTGGATGTGGACATTTGGAGCGCTTTGATGCCTACGGTGAGAAAGTAAATATCTTCCCATAAAAACGAGACAGAAGGATTCTCAGAAACAAGTTTGTGATGCGTGTACTCAGCTAACAGAGTGGAACCTTTCTTTTTACACAGCAGCTTGGAAACTCTATTTTTGTGGATTCTGCAAATTGATATTTAGATTGCTTTAACGATATCGTTGGAAAAGGGAATATCGTCATACAAAATCTAGACAGAAGCATTCTCACAAACATCTTTGTGATGTGTGTCCTCAACTAACAGAGTTGAACCTTTCTTTTGATGCAGCAGTTTGGAAACACCCTTTTGGTTGAAACTGTAACTGGATATTTGGATAGCTCTAACGATTTCGTTGGAAACGGGAATATCATCATCTAAAATCTAGACAGAAGCACTATTAGAAACTACTTGGTGATATCTGCATTCAAGTCACAGAGTTGAACATTCCCTTACTTTGAGCACGTTTCAAACACTCTTTTGGAAGAATCTGGAAGTGGACATTTGGAGCGCTTTGATGCCTTTGGTGAAAAGGAAATGTCTTCCAATAAAAGCCAGACAGAAGCATTCTCAGAAACTTGTTTGTGATGTGTGTACTCAACTAAAAGAGTTGAACCTTTGTATTGATAGAGCAGTTTTGAAACTCTCTTATGTGGATTCTGCAAGTGGATATTTGGATTGCTTTGTGGATTTCGTTGGAAGCGGGAATTCGTATAAAAACTAGACAGCAGCATTCCCAGAAATTTCTTTCGGATATTTCCATTCAACTCATAGAGATGAACATTGCCTTTCATAGAGCAGGTTTGAAACACTCTTTTTGTAGTTTGTGGAAGTGGACATTTCGATCGCCTTGATGCCTACGGTGAAAAAGGAAATATCTTCCCATAAAAAATAGACAGAAGAATTCTCAGAAACTTGTTTGTGATGTGTATCCTCAACTGACAGAGTTGAACCTTTCCATTGATAGAGCAGTTTTGAAACACGCTTTTTGTGGAATCTGCGAGTGGATATTTGGATAGCCTGGGGGATTTCATTGGAAGCGGGAATTCAAATAAAAGGTAGACAGCAGCATTCTCAGAAATTTCTTTCTGATGTCTGCATTCAACTCATAGAGTTGAAGATTCCCTTTCATAGAGCAGGTTTGAAACACTCTTTCTGGAGTATCTGGATGTGGACATTTGGAGCGCTTTGATGCCTACGGTGAAAAAGTAAATATCTTCCCATAAAAACGACACAGAAGGATTCTGAGAAACAAGTTTGTGATGTGTGTACTCAGCTAACAGAGTGGAACCTCTCTTTTGATGCAGCAGTTTCGAAACACTCTTTTTGTAGAAACTGTAAGTGGATATTTGGATAGCTCTAATGATTTCGTTGGAAACGGGAATATCATCATCTAAAATCTAGACAGAAGCCCTCTCAGAAACTACTTTGTGATATCTGCATTCAAGTCACAGAGTTGAACATTCGTTTTCTTAGAGCACGTTTGAAACACTCTTTTTATAGTGTCTGGAAGTGGACATTTGGAGCGCTTTGATGCCTTTGGTGAAAAAGGGAACGTCTTCCCATAAAAACTAGACAGATAAGCATTCTCAGCAAACTTGTTTGTGATGTGTGTACCCAGCTAAAGGAGTTGAACATTTCCATTGATAGAGCAGTTTTGAAACACTCTTTTTGTGGAAAATGCAAGTGGATATTTGGATAGCTTGGAGGATTTCGTTGGAAGCGGGAATTCAAATAAAAGGTAGACAGGAGCATTCTCAGAAATTTCTTTGTGATGTTTGCATTCAACTCATAGAGTTGAACATTCCCTTTAATAGAGCAGGTTTGAAACACTCTTTCTGTACTATGTGGATGTGGACATTTGGAGCGCTTTGACGCCTACGGTGAAAAAGGAAATGTCTTCCCATAAAAAATTGAAGAAGGTTTCTCAGAAACAAGTTTGTGATGTGTGTACTCAGCTAACAGAGTGGAACCCTTCTTTTTAAAGAGCAGCTTTGAAACTCTATTTTTGTGGATTCTGCAAATTGATATTTAGATTGCTTTAACGATATCGTTGGAAAAGGGAATATGGTCACACAAAATCTAGACAAAAGCTTTCTCAGAAACTTGTATGTGATGTGTGTCCTCAACTAACAGAGTTGAACCTTTCTTTTGATGCAGCAGTTTGGAAACACACTTTTGGTAGAAACTGTAAGTGGATATTTGGATAGCTCTAACGATTTCGTTGGAAACGGGAATATCATCATCTAAAATCTAGACAGAAAGCACTATTAGAAACTACTTGGTGATATCTGCATTCAAGTCACAGAGTTGAACATTCCCTTACTTTGAGCACGTTTGAAACACTCTTTTGGAAGAATCTGGAAGTGGACATTTGCAGCGCTTTGATGCCTTTGGTGAAAAGGAAACGTCTTCCAATAAAAGCCAGACAGAAGCATTCTCAGAAACTTGTTCATGATGTGTGTACTCAACCAAAAGATTTGAACCTTTCTATTGATAGAGCAGTTTTGAAACACTCTTTTTGTGGATTCTGCAAGTGGATATTTGGATTGCTTTGAGGATTTCGTTGGAAGCGGGAATTCGTATAAAAACTAGACAGCAGCATTTCCAGAAATTTCTTTCGGATATTTCCATTCAACTCATAGAGATGAACATGGCCTTTCATAGAGCAGGTTTGAAACACTCTTTTTGTAGTTTGTGGAAGTGGACATTTCGATCGCCTTGACGCCTACGGTGAAAAAGGAAATATCTTCCCATAAAAAATAGACAGAAGCATTCTCAGAAACTTGCTGGTGATATGTGTCCTCAACTAACAGAGTTGAACTTTGCCATTGATAGAGAGCAGTTTTGAAACACTCTTTTTGTGGAATCTGCAAGTGGATATTTGGATAGCTTGGAGGATTTCGTTGGAAGCGGGAATTCAAATAAAAGGTAGACAGCAGCATTCTCAGAAATTTCTTTGTGATGTTTGCATTCAACTCATAGAGTTGAACATTCCCTTTCATAGAGCAGGTTTGAAACACTCTTTCTGTACTATCTGGATGTGGACATTTGGAACGCTTTGATGCCTACGGTGAAAAAGTAAATATCTTCCCATAAAACCTAGACAGAAGGATTCTCAGAAAGAAGTTTGTGATGTGTGTACTCAGCTAACAGAGTGGAACCTCTCTTTTGATGCAGCAGTTTGGAAACACTCTTTTTGTAGAAACTGTAACTGGATATTTGGATAGCTCTAATGATTTCGTTGGAAACGGGAATATCATCATGTAAAATCTAGACAGAAGCAGTCTCAGAAACTACTTTGTGATATCTGCATTCCAGTCACAGAGTTGAAAACTCCCTTACTTAGAGCAGGTTTGAAACACTCTTTTTGTAGAATCTGGAAGTGGACATTTGGAGCACTTTGATGCCTTTGGTGAAAAAGGAAATGTCTTCCCTTAAAAAGTAGACAGAAGTATTCTCAGAAACTTGTTTGTGATGTGTGTACCCAGCCAAAGGAGTTGAACATTTCTATTGATAGAGCAGTTTTGAAACACTCTTGTTGTGGAAAATGCAGGTGGATATTTGGATAGCTTGGAGGATTTCGTTGGAAGCGGGAATTCAAATAAAAGGTAGACAGCAGCATTCTCAGAAATTTCTTTCTGATGTCTGCATTCAACTCATAGAGTTGAAGATTCCCTTTCATAGAGCAGGTTTGAAACAGTCTTTCTGGAGTATCTGGATGTGGACATTTGGAGCGCTTAGATGCCTACGGTGAAAAAGTAAATATCTTCCCATAAAAACGAGACAGAAGGATTCTGAGAAACATGTTTGTGATGTGTGTACTCAGCTAACAGAGTGTAACCTTTCTTTTTACAGAGCAGCTTTGAAACTCTATTTTTGTGGATTCTGCAAATTGATATTTAGATTGCTTTAACGATATCGTTGGAAAAGGGAATATCGTCATACAAAATCTAGACAGAAGGATTCTCACAAACTTCTTTGTGATGTGTGTCCTCAACTAACAGAGTTGAACCTTTCTTTTGATGCAGCAGTTTGGAAACACTCTTTTTGTAGAAACTGTAACTGGATATTTGGATAGCTCTAATGATTTCGTTGGAAACGGGAATATCATCATGTAAAATCTAGACAGAAGCACTATTAGCAAACTACTTGGTGATATCTGCATTCAAGTCACAGAGTTGAACATTCCCTTACTTTGAGCACGTTTGAAACACTCTTTTGGAAGAATCTGGAAGTGGACATTTGCAGCGCTTTGATGCCTTTGGTGAAAAGGAAACGTCTTCCAATAAAAGCCAGACAGAAGCATTCTCAGAAACTTGTTTGTGATGTGTGTACTCAACTAAAAGAGTTGAACCTTTCTATTGATAGAGCAGTTTTGAAACACTCTTTTTGTGGATTCTGCAAGTGGATATTTGGATTACTTTGAGGATTTCGTTGGAAGCGGGAATTCGTATAAACACTAGACAGCAGCATTCCCAGAAATTTCTCTCGGATATTTCCATTCAACTCATAGAGATGAACATGGCCTTTCATAGAGCAGGTTTGAAACACTCTTTTTGTAGTTTGTGGAAGTGGACATTTCGATCGCCTTGACGCCTACGGTGAAAAAGGAAATATCTTCCCATAAAAAATAGACAGAAGCATTCTCAAAAACTTGTTGGTGATATGTGTCCTCAACTAACAGAGTTGAACTTTGCCATTGATAGAGAGCAGTTTTGAAACACTCTTTTTGTGGAATCTGCAAGTGGATATTTGGATAGCTTGGAGGATTTCGTTGGAAGCGGGAATTCAAATAAAAGGTAGACAGCAGCATTCTCAGAAATTTCTTTCTGATGTTTGCATTCAACTCATAGAGTTGAACATTCCCTTTAATAGAGCAGGTTTGAAACATTCTTTCTTTACTATCTGGATGTGGACATTTGGAGCGCTTTGACGCCTACGGTGAAAAAGGAAATGTCTTCCCATAAAAAATTGAAGAAGGATTCTCAGAAACAAGTTTGTGATGTGTGTACTCAGCTAACAGAGTGGAACCTTTCTTTTGACAGAGCAGCTTTGAAACTCTATTTTTGTGGATTCTGCAAATGGATATTTAGATTGCTTTAACGATATCGTTGGAAAAGGGAATATCGTCATACAAAATCTGGACAGAAGCATTCTCACAAACTTCTTTATGATGTGTGTCCTCAACTAACAGAGTTGAACCTTTCTTTTGATGCAGCAATTTGGAAACACCCTTTTGGTAGAAACTGTAACTGGATATTTGGATAGCTCTAACGATTTCGTTGGAAACGGGAATATCATCATCTAAAATCTAGACAGAAGCACTATTAGAAACTACTTGGTGATATCTGTATTCAAGTCACAGAGTTGAACATTCCCTTACTTTGAGCACGTTTGAAACACTCTTTTGGAAGAATCTGGAAGTGGACATTTGGAGCACTTTGATGCCTTTGGTGAAAAGGAAACGTCTTCCAATAAAAGCCAGAGAGAAGCATTCTCAGAAACTTGTTTGTGATGTGTGTACTCAACTAAAAGAGTTGAACCTTACTATTGATAGAGCAGTTTTGAAACACTCTTTTTGTGGATTCTGCAAGTGGATATTTGGATTGCTTTGAGGATTTCGTTGGAAGCGGGAATTCGTATAAAACCTAGACAGCAGCATTCCCAGAAATTTCTTTCGGATATTTCCATTCAACTCATAGAGATGAACATGGCCTTTCATAGAGCAGGTTTGAAACACTCTTTTTGTAGTTTGTGGAAGTGGACATTTCGATCGCCTCGACGCATACGGTGAAAAAGGAAATATCTTCCCATAAAAAATAGACAGAAGCATTCTCAGAAACTTGTTGGTGATATGGGTCCTCAACTAACAGAGTTGAACTTTGCCATTGATAGAGAGCAGTTTTGAAACACTCTTTTTGTGGAATCTGCAAGTGGATATTTGGATAGCTTGGAGGATTTCGTTGGAAGCGGGAATTCAAATAAAAGGTAGACAGCAGCATTCTCAGAAATTTCTTTCTGATGTCTGCATTCAACTCATAGAGTTGAAGATTCCCTTTCATAGAGCAGGTTTGAAACAGTCTTTCTGGAGTATCTGGATGTGGACATTTGAAGCGCTTTGATGCCTACGGTGAAAAAGTAAATATCTTCCCATAAAAACGAGACAGAAGGATTCTCAGAAACAAGTTTGTGATGTGTGTACTCAGCTAAAAGAGTAGAACCTTTCTTTTTACAGAGCAGCTTTGAAACTCTATTTTTGTGGATTCTGCAAATTGATATTTAGATTGCTTTAACGATATCGTTGGAAATGAGAATATCGTCATAGAAAATCTACACAGAAGCATTCTCACAAACTTCTTTGTGATGTGTGTCCTCAACTAACAGAGTTGAACCTTTCTTTTGATGCAGCAGTTTGGAAACACTGTTTTTGTAGCAACTGTAAGTGGATATTTGGATAGCTCTAACGATTTCGTTGGAAACGGGAATATCATCATCTAAAATCTAGACAGAAGCACTATTAGAAACTACTTGGTGATATCTGCATTCAAGTCACAGAGTTGAACATTCCCTTACTTTGAGCACGTTTGAAACAGTCTTTTGGAAGAATCTGGAAGTGGACATATGGAGCGCTTTGATGCCTTTGGTGAAAAGGAAACGTCTTCCAATAAAAGCCAGACAGAAGCATTCTCAGAAACTTGTTCGTGATGTGTGTACTCAACTAAAAGAGTTGAACATTTCTATTGATAGAGCAGTTTTGAAACACTCTTTTTGTGGATTCTGCAAGTGGATATTTGGATTGCTTTGAGGATTTCGTTGGAATCGGGAATTCGTATAAACACTAGACAGCAGCATTCCCAGAAATTTCTTTCGGATATTTCCATTCAACTCATTGAGATGAACATCGCCTTTCATAGAGCTGGTTTGAAACACTCTTTTTGTAGTTTGTGGAAGTGGACATTTCGATCGCCTTGACGCCTACAGTGAAAAAGGAAATATCTTCCCATAAAAAATAGACAGAAGAATTCTCAGAAACTTGTTTGTGATGTGTATCCTCAACTGACAGAGTTGAACCTTGCCATTGATAGAGCAGTTTAGAAACACTCTTTTTGTGGAATCTGCAAGTGGATATTTGGATAGACTGGAGGATTTCGTTGGAAGCGGGAATTCAAATGAAAGGTAGACAGCAGCATTCTCAGAAATTTCTTTCTGATGTCTGCATTCAACTCGTAGAGTTGAAGATTCCCTTTCATAGAGCAGGTTTGAAACACTCTTTCTGGAGTATCTGGATGTGGACATTTGGAGCGCTTTGATGCCTACGGTGAAAAAGTATATATCTTCCCATAAAAACGAGACAGAAGGATTCTCAGAAACAAGTTTGTGATGTGTGTACACAGCTAACAGAGTGGAACCTCTCTTCTGATGCAGCAGTTTGGAAACACTCTTTTTGTAGAAACTGTAAGTGGATATTTGGATAGCTCTAATGATTTCGTTGGAAATGGGAATATCATCATCTAAAATCTAGACAGAAGCCCTCTCAGAAACTACTTTGTGATATCTGCATTCAAGTCACAGAGTTGAACATTCGCTTTCTTAGGGCACGTTGGAAACACTCTTTTTGTAGTGTCTGGAAGTGGACATTTGGAGCGCTTTGATGCCTTTGGTGAAAAAGGGAACGTCTTCCCATAAAAACTAGACAGAAGCATTCTCAGAAACTTGTTTGTGATGTGTGTACCCAGCCAAAGGAGTTGAACATTTCTATTGATAGAGCAGTTTTGAAACACTCTTTTTATGGAAAATGCAAGTGGATATTTGGATAGCTTGGAGGATTTCGTTGGAAGCGGGAATTCAAATAAAAGGTAGACAGCAGGATTCTCAGAAACAAGTTTGTGATGTGTGTACTCAGCTAACAGAGTGGAACCTTTCTTTTTACAGAGCAGCTTTGAATCTCTATTTTTGTGGATTCTGCAAATTGATATTTAGATTGCTTTAACGATATCGTTGGAAAAGGGAATATGGTCATACAAAATCTAGACAGAAGCATTCTCACAAACTTCTTTGTGATGTGTGTCCTCAACTAACAGAGTTGAACCTTTCTTTTGATGCAGCAATTTGGAAACACCCTTTTGGTAGAAACTGTAACTGGATATTTGGATAGCTCTAACGATTTCGTTGGAATCGGGAATATCATCATCTAAAATCTAGACAGAAGCACTATTAGAAACTACTTGGTGATATCTGCATTCAAGTCACAGAGTAGAGCATTCCCTTACTTCGAGCACGTTTGAAACACTCTTTTGGAAGAATCTGGAAGTGGACATTTGGAGCGCTTTGATGCCTTTGGTGAAAAGGAAACGTCTTCCAATAAAAGCCAGACAGAAGCATTCTCAGAAACTTGTTTGTGATGTGTGTACTCAACTAAAAGAGTTGAACCTTTCTATTGATAGAGCAGTTTTGAAACACTCTTTTTGTGGATTCTGCAAGTGGATATTTGGATTGCTTTGAGGATTTCGTTGGAAGCGGGAATTCATATAAAAACTAGACAGCAGCATTCCCAGAAATTTCTTTCGGATATTTCCATTCAACTCATAGAGATGAACATCGCCTTTCATAGAGCAGGTTTGAAACACTCTTTTTGTAGTTTGTGGAAGTGGACATTTCGATCGCTTTGATGCCTACGGTGAAAAAGGAAATATCTTCCCATAAAAAATAGACAGAAGCATTCTCAGAAACTTGTTGGTGATATGTGTCCTCAACTAACAGAGTTGAACTTTGCCATTGATAGAGAGCAGTTTGGAAACACTCTTTTTGTGGAATCTGCAAGTGGATATTTGGATAGCTTGGAGGATTTCGTTGGAAGCGGGAATTCAAATAAAAGGTAGACAGCAGCATTCTCAGAAATTTCTTTCTGATGTCTGCATTCAACTCATAGAGTTGAAGATTCCCTTTCATAGAGCAGGTTTGAAACACTCTTTCTGGAGTATCTGGATGTGGACATTTGGAGCGCTTTGATGCCTACGGTGGAAAAGTAAATATCTTCCCATAAAAACGAGACAGAAGGATTCTGAGAAACAAGTTTGTGATGTGTGTACTCAGCTAACAGAGTGGAACCTCTCTTTTGATGCAGCAGTTTGGAAACACTCTTTTTGTAGAAACTGTAAGTGTATATTTGGATAGCTCTAATGATTTCGTTGGAAACGGGAATATCATCATCTAAAATCTAGACAGAAGCACTCTCAGAAACTTCTTTGTGATATCTGCATTCAAGTCACAGAGTTGAACATTCGCTTTCTTAGAGCACGTTTGAAACACTCTTTTTGTAGTGTCTGGAAGTGGACATTTGGAGCGCTTTGATGCCTTTGGTGAAAAAGGGAATGTCTTTCCATAAAAACTAGACAGAAGCATTCTCAGAAACTTGTTTGTGATGTGTGTACCCAGCGAAAGGAGTTGAACATTTCTATTGATAGAGCAGTTTTGAAACACTCTTTTTGTGGAATCTGCAAGTGGATATTTGGATAGCTTGGAGGTTTTCGTTGGAAGAGGGAATTCAAATAAAAGGTAGACAGCAGCATTCTCAGAAATTTCTTTCTGATGTTTGCATTCAACTCATAGTGTTGAACATTCCCTTTAATAGAGCAGGTTTGAAACACTCTTTCTGTACTATCTGGATGTGGACATTTGGAGCGCTTTGACGCCTACGGTGAAAAAGGAAATGTCTTCCCATAAAAAATTGAAGAAGGATTCTCAGAAACAAGTTTGTGATGTGTGTACTCAGCTAACAGAGTGGATCCTTTCTTTTTACAGAGCAGCTTTGAAACTCTATTTCTGTGGATTCTGCAAATTGATATTTGGGTTGATTTAACAATATCGTTGGAAAAGGGAATATCTTCATACAAAATCTAGACAGAAGCATTCTCACAAACTTCTTTGTGATGTGTGTCCTCAACTAACAGAGTTGAACCTTTCTTTTGATGCAGCAATTTGGAAACACCCTTTTGGTAGAAACTGTAACTGGATATTTGGATAACTCTAACGATTTCGTTGGAAACGGGAATATCATCATCTAAAATGTAGACAGAAGCACTATTAGCAAACTACTTGGTGATATCTGCATTCAAGTCACAGAGTTGAACATTCCCTTACTTTGAGCACGTTTGAAACACTCTTTTGGAAGAATCTGGAAGTGGACATTTGGAGCGCTTTGATGCCTTTGGTGAAAAGGAAACGTCTTCCAATAAAAGCCAGACAGAAGCATTCTCAGAAACTTGTTTGTGATGTGTGTACTCAACTAAAAGGAGTTGAACCTTTCTATTGATAGAGCAGTTTTGAAACACTCTTTTTGTGGATTCTGCAAGTGGATATTTGGATTGCTTTGAGGATTTCGTTGGAAGCGGGAATTCGTATAACAACTAGACAGCAGCATTCCCAGAAATTTCTTTCGGATATTTCCATTCAACTCATAGAGAAGAACATGGCCTTTCATAGAGCAGGTTTGAAACACTCTTTTTGTAGTTTGTGGAAGTGGACATTTCGATCGCCTTGACGCCTACGGTGAAAAAGGAAATATCTTCCCATAAAAAAAAGACAGAAGCATTCTCAGAAACTTGTTGGTGATATGTGTCCTCAACTAACAGAGTTGAACTTTGCCATTGATAGAGAGCAGTTTTGAAACACTCTTTTTCCTGAATCTGCAAGTGGATATATGGATAGCTTGGAGGATTTCGTTGGAAGCGGGAATTCAAATAAAAGGTAGACAGCAGGATTCTGAGAAACAAGTTTGTGATGTGTGTACTCAGCTAACAGAGTGGAACCTCTCTTTTGATGCAGCAGTTTGGAAACACTCTTTTTGTAGAAACTGTAAGTGGATATTTGGATAGCTCTAATGATTTCGTTGGAATCGGGAATATCATCACCTAAAATCTAGACAGAAGCACTCTCAGAAACTACTTTGTGATATCTGCATTCAAGTCACAGAGTTGAACATTCGCTTTCTTAGAGCACGTTTGAAACACTCTTTTTGTAGTGTCTGGAAGTGGACATTTGGAGCGCTTTGATGCCTTTGGTGAAAAAGGGAATGTCTTCCCATAAAAACTAGGCAGAAGCATTCTCAGAAACTTGTTTGTAATGTGTGTACCCAGCTAAAGGAGTTGAACGTTTCTATTGATAGAGCAGTTTTGAAACACTCTTTTTGTGGAAAATGCAGGTGGATGTTTGGATAGATAGGAGGATTTCGTTGGAAGCGGGAATTCAAATAAAAGGTAGACAGCAGCATTCTCAGAAATTTCTTTCTGATGTTTGCATTCAACTCATAGAGTTGAACATTCCCTTTAATAGAGCAGGTTTGAAACACTCTTTCTGTACTGTCCGGATGTGGACATTTGGAGCGCTTTGACGCCTACGGTGAAAAAGGAAATGTCTTCCCATAAAAAACTGAAGTATTCTCAGAAACAAGTTTGTGATGTGTGTACTCAGCTAACAGAGTGGAACCTCTCTTTTGACGCAGCAGTTTGGAAACACTCTTTTTGTAGAAACTGTAAGTGGATATTTGGATAGCTCTAATGATTTCGTTGGAAACGGGAATATCATCATCTAAAATCTAGACAGAAGCATTCCCAGAAATTTCTTTCGGATATTTCCATTCGACTCATAGAGATGAACATGGCCTTTCATAGAGCAGGTTTGAAACACTCTTTTTGTAGTTTGTGGAAGTGGACATTTCGATCGCCTTGACGCCTACGGTGAAAAAGGGAATGTCTTCCCATAAAAACTAGACAGAAGCATTCTCAGAAACTTGTTTGTGATGTGTGTACCCAGCCAAAGGAGTTGAACATTTCTATTGATAGAGCAGTTTTGAAACGCTCCTTTTGTGGAAAATGCAGGTGGATATTTGGATAGCTTGGAGGATTTCGTTGGAAGCGGGAATTCAAATAAAAGGTAGACAGCAGCATTCTCAGAAATTTCTTTCTGATGTCTGCATTCAACTCATAGAGTTGAAGATTCCCTTTCATAGAGCAGGTTTGAAACACTCGTTCTGGAGTATCTGGATGTGGACATTTGGAGCGCTTTGATGCCTACGGTGGAAAAGTAAACATCTTCCCATAAAAACGAGACAGAAGGATTCTCAGAAACAAGTTTTTGATGTGTGTACTCAGCTAACAGAGTGGAACCTTTCTTTTTACAGAGCAGCTTTGAAACTCTATTTTTGTGGATTCTGCAAATTGATATTTAGATTGCTTTAACGATATCGTTGGAAAAGGGAATATCGTCATACAAAATCTAGACAGAAGCATTCTCACAAACTTCTTTGTGATGTGTGTCCTCAACTAACAGAGTTGAACCTTTCTTTTGATGCAGCAGTTTGGAAACACCCTTTTTGTAGAAACTGTAAGTGGATATTTGGATAGCTCTAACGATTTCGTTGGAAACGGGAATATCATCATCTAAAATCTAGACAGAAGCACTATTAGAAACTACTTGGTGATATCTGCATTCAAGTCACAGAGTTGAACATTCCCTTACTTTGAGCACGTTTGAAACACTCTTTTGGAAGAATCTGGAAGTGGACATTTGGAGCGCTTTGATGCCTTTGGTGAAAAGGAAACGTCTTCCAATAAAAGCCAGACAGAAGCATTCTGAGAAACTTGTTCGTGATGTGTGTACTCAACTAAAAGAGTTGAACCTTTCTATTGATAGAGCAGTTTTGAAACACTCTTTTTGTGGATTCTGCAAGTGGATATTTGGATTGCTTTGAGGATTTCGTTGGAAGCGGGAATTCGTATAAAAACTAGACAGCAGCATTCCCAGAAATTTCTTTCGGATAATTCCATTCAACTCATAGAGATGAACATCGCCTTTCATAGAGCAGGTTTGAAACACTCTTTTTGTAGTTTGTGGAAGTGGATATTTCGATCGCCTTGACGCCTATGGTGAAAAAGGAAATATCTTCCCATAAAAAATAGACAGAAGCATTCTCAGAAACTTGTTGGTGATATGTGTCCTCAACTAACAGAGTTGAACTTTGTCATTGATAGAGAGCAGTTTTGAAACACTCTTTTTCCTGAATCTGCAAGTGGATATTTGGATAGCTTGGAGGATTTCGTTGGAAGCGGGAATTCAAATAAAAGGTAGACAGCAGCATTCTCAGAAATTTCTTTCTGAGATCTGCATTCAACTCATAGAGTTGAACATTCCCTTTCATAGAGCAGGTTTGAAATACTCTTTCTGTAGTATCTGGATGTGGACATTTGGAGTGCTTTGATGCCTACGGTGAAAAAGTAAATATCTTCCCATAAAAACGAGACAGAAGGATTCTCAGAAACAAGTTTGTGATGTGTGTACTCACCTAACAGAGTGGAACCTCTCTTTTGATGCAGCAGTTTGGAAACACTCTTTTTGTAGAAACTGTAAGTGGATATTTGGATAGCTCTAATGATTTCGTTGGAAACGGGAATATCATCATCTAAAATCTAGACAGAAGCACTCTCAAAAACTACTGTGTGATATCTGCATTCAAGTCACAGAGTTGAACATTCGCTTTCTTAGAGCACGTTTGAAACACTCTTTTTGTAGTGTCTGGAAGTGGACATTTGGAGCGCTTTGATTCCTTTGGTGAAAAAGGGAATGTCTACCCATAAAAACTAGACAGAAGCATTCTCAGAAACTTGTTTGTGATGTGTGTACCCAGCCAAAGGAGTTGAACATTTCTATTGATAGAGCAGTTTTGAAACACTCTTGTTGTGGAAAATGCAAGTGGATATTTGGATACCTTGGAGGATTTCGTTGGAAGCGGGAATTCAAATAAAAGGTAGACAGCAGCATTCTCAGAAATTTCTTTCTGATGTCTGCATTCAACTCATAGACTTGAAGGTTCCCTTTCATAGAGCAGGTTTGAAACACTCTTTCTGGAGTATCTGGATGTGGACATTTGGAGCGCTTTGATGCCTACGGTGAAAAAGTAAATATCTTCCCATAAAAACGAGACAGAAGGATTCTCAGAAACAAGTTTGTGATGTGTGTACTCAGCTAACAGAGTGAAACCTTTCTTTTTACAGAGCAGCTTTGAAACTCTATTTTTGTGGATTCTGCAAATTGATATTTAGATTGCTTTAACGATATCGTTGGAAAAGGGAATATCGTCATACAAAATCTAGACAGAAGCATTCTCACAAACTTCTTTGTGACGTGTGTCCTCAACTAACAGAGTTGAACCTTTCTTTTGATGCAGCAGTTTGGAAACACTGTTTTTGTAGCAACTGTAAGTGGATATTTGGATAGCTTCTAACGATTTCGTTGGAAACGGGAATATCATCATCTAAAATCTAGACAGAAGCACTATTAGAAACTACTTGGTGATATCTGCATTCAAGTCACAGAGTTGAACATTCTCTTACTTTGAGCACGTTTCAAACACTCTTTTGGAAGAATCTGGAAGTGGACATTTGGAGCGCTTTGATGCCTTTGGTGAAAAGGAAACGTCTTCCAATAAAAGCCAGACAGAAGCATTCTCAGAAACTTGTTCGTGATGTGTGTACTCAACTAAAAGAGTTGAACCTTTCTATTGATAGAGCAGTTTTGAAACACTCTTTTTGTGGATTCTGCAAGTGGATATTTGGATTGCTTTGAGGATTACGTTGGAAGCGGGAATTCGTATAAACACTAGACAGCAGCATTCCCAGAAATTTCTTTCGGATATTTCCATTCAACTCATAGAGATGAACATGGCCTTTCATAGAGCAGGTTTGAAACACTCTTTTTGTAGTTTGTGGAAGTGGACATTTCGATCGCCTTGACGCCTACGGTGAAAAAGGAAATATCTTCCCATAAAAAATAGACAGAAGCATTCTCAGAAACTTGTTGGTGATATGTGTCCTTAACTAACAGAGTTGAACTTTGCCATTGATAGAGAGCAGTTTTGAAACACTCTTTTTGTGGAATCTGCAAGTGGATATTTGCATAGCTTGGAGGATTTCGTTGGAAGCGGGAATTCAAATAAAAGGTAGACAGCAGCATTCTCAGAAATTTCTTTCTGATGTCTGCATTCAACTCATAGAGTTGAAGTTTCCCTTTCATAGAGCAGGTTTGAAACACTCTTTCTGGAGTATCTGGATGTGGACATTTGGAGCGCTTTGATGCCTACGGTGAAAAAGTAAATATCTTCCCATAAAAACGAGACAGAAGGATTCTGAGAAACAAGTTTGTGATGTGTGTACTCAGCTAACAGAGTGGAACCTCTCTTTGGATGCAGCAGTTTGGAAACACTCTTTTTGTAGAAACTGTAAGTGGATATTTGGATAGCTCTAATGATTTCGTTGGAAACGGGAATATCATCATCTAAAATCTAGATAGAAGCCCTCTCAGAAACTACTTTGTGATATCTGCATTCAAGTCACAGAGTTGAACATTCGCTTTCTTAGAGCACGTTGGAAACACTCTTTTTGTAGTGTCTGGAAGTGGACATTTGGAGCGCTTTGATGCCTTTGGTGAAAAAGGGAACGTCTTCCCATAAAAACTAGACAGAAGCATGCTCAGAACTTGTTTGTGATGTGTGTACCCAGCCAAAGGAGTTGAACATTTCTATTGATAGAGCAGTTTTGAAACACTCTTTTTGTGGAAAATGCAGGTGGATATTTGGATAGCTTGGAGGATTTCGTTGGAAGCGGGAATTCAAATAAAAGGTAGACAGCAGCATTCTCAGAAATTTCTTTCTGATGTCTGCATTCAACTCATAGAGTTGAAGATTCCCTTTCATAGAGCAGGTTTGAAACACTCGTTCTGGAGTATCCGGATGTGGACATTTGGAGCGCTTTGATGCCTACGGTGGAAAAGTAAATATCTTCCCATAAAAACGAGACAGAAAGGATTCTCAGAAACAAGTTTGTGATGTGTGTACTCAGCTAACAGAGTGGAACCTTTCTTTTTACAGAGCAGCTTTGAAACTCTATTTTTGTGGATTCTGCAAATTGATATTTAGATTGCTTTAACGATATCGTTGGAAAAGGGAATATCGTCATACAAAATCTAGACAGAAGCATTCTCACAAACTTCTTTGTGATGTGTGTCCTCAACTAACAGAGTTGAACCTTTCTTTTGATGCAGCAATTTGGAAACACCCTTTTGGTAGAAACTGTAACTGGATATTTGGATAGCTCTAACGATTTCCTTGGAAAAGGGAATATCATCATCTAAAATGTAGACAGAAGCACTATTAGAAACTACTTGGTGATATCTGCATTCAAGTCACAGAGTTGAACATTCCCTTACTTTGAGCACGTTTGAAACACTCTTTTGGAAGAATCTCGAAGTGGACATTTGGAGCGCTTTGATGCCTTTGGTGAAAAGGAAACGTCTTCCAATAAAAGCCAGACAGAAGCATTCTCAGAAACTTGTTCCTGATGTGTGTACTCAACTAAAAGAGTTGAACCTTTCTATTGATAGAGCAGTTTTGAAACACTCTTTTTGTGGATTCTGCAAGTGGATATTTGGATTGCTTTGAGGATTTCGTTGGAAGCGGGAATTCGTATAAACACTAGACAGCAGCATTCCCAGAAATTTCTTTCGGATATTTCCATTCAACTCATAGAGATGAACATGGCCTTTCATAGAGCAGGTTTGAAACACTCTTTTTGTAGTTTGTGGAAGTGGACATTTCGATCGCCTTGACGCCTACGCTGAAAAAGGAAATATCTTCCCATAAAAAATAGACAGAAGCATTCTCAGAAATTTATTTCTGATGTTTGCATTCAACTCATAGAGTTGAACATTCCCTTTAATAGAGCAGGTTTGAAACACTCTTTCTGTACTATCTGGATGTGGACATTTGGAGCGCTTTGACGCCTACGGTGAAAAAGGAAATGTCTTCCCATAAAAAATTGAAGAAACATTCTCAGAAATTTCTTTCTGATGTGTGCATTCAACTCATAGAGTTGAAGATTCCCTTTCATAGAGCAGGTTTGAAACACTCTTTCTGGAGTATCTGGATGTGGACATTTGGACCGCTTTGATGCCTACGGTGAAAAACTAAATATGTTCCCATAAAAACGAGACAGAAGGATTCTCAGAAACAAGTTTGTGATGTGTGTACTCAGCTAACAGAGTGGAACCTTTCTTTTTACAGAGCAGCTTGGAAACTCTATTTTTGTGGATTATGCAAATTGATATTTAGATTGCTTTAACGATATCGTTGGAAAAGGGAATATCGTCATACAAAATCTAGACAGAAAGCATTCTCACAAACTTCTTTGTGATGTGTGTCCTCAACTAACAGAGTTGAACCTTTCTTTTGATGCAGCAATTTGGAAACACCCTTTTGGTAGAAACTGTAACTGGATATTTGGATAGCTCTAGCGATTTCGTTGGAAACGGGAATATCATCATCTAAAATGTAGACAGAAGCACTATTAGAAACTACTTGGTGATATCTGCATTCAAGTCACAGAGTTGAGCATTCCCTTACTTTGAGCACGTTTGAAACACTCTTTTGGAAGAATCTGGAAGTGGACATTTGCAGCGCTTTGATGCCTTTGGTGAAAAGGAAACGTCTTCCAATAAAAGCCAGACAGAAGCATTCGCAGAAACTTGTTCGTGATGTGTGTACTCAACTAAAAGAGTTGAACCTTTCTATTGATAGAGCAGTTTTGAAACACTCTTTTTGTGGATTCTGCAAGTGGATATTTGGATTGCTTTGAGGATTTCGTTGGAAGCGGGAATTCGTATAAACACTAGACAGCAGCATTCCCAGAAATTTCTTTTGGATATTTCCATTCAACACATAGAGATGAACATGGCCTTTCATATTGAAACACTCTTTTTGTAGTTTGTGGAAGTGGACATTTCGATCGCCTTGATGCCTACGGTGAAAAAGGAAATATCTTCCCATAAAAAATAGACAGAAGCATTCTCAGAAACTTGTTTGTGATGTGTGTACCCAGCTAAAGGAGTTGAACATTTGTATTGATAGAGCAGTTTTGAAACACTCTTTTTGTGGAAAATGCAAGTGGATATTTGGATAGCTTGGAGGATTTCGTTGGAAGCAGGAATTCAAATAAAAGGTAGACAGCAGCATTCTCAGAAATTTCTGTCTGATGTCTGCATTCAACTCATAGAGTTGAAGATTCCCTTTCATAGAGGAGGTTTGAAACACTCTTTCTGGAGTATCTGGATGTGGACATTTGGAGCGCTTTGATGCCTACGGTGAAAAAGTAAATATCTTCCCATAAAAACGAGACAGAAGGATTCTCAGAAACAAGTTTGTGATGTGTGTACTCAGCTAACAGAGTGGAACCTTTCTTTTTACAGAGCAGCTTTGAAACTCTATTTTTCTGGATTCTGGAAATTGATATTTAGATTGCTTTAACGATATCGTTGGAAAAGGGAATATCGTCATACAAAATCTGGACAGAAGCATTCTCACAAACTTCTTTGTGATGTGTGTCCTCAACTAACAGAGTTGAACCTTTCTTTTGATGCAGCAGTTTGGAAACACTCTTTTTGTAGAAACTGTAAGTGCATTATTGAATAGCTCTAACGATTTCGTTGGAAACGGGAATATCATCATCTAAAATCTAGACAGAAAGCACTATTAGTAAACTACTTGGTGATATCTGCATTCAAGTCACAGAGTAGAACATTCCCTTACTTCGAGCACGTTTGAAACACTCTTTTGGAAGAATCTGGAAGTGGACATTTGGAGCGCTTTGATGCCTTTGGTGAAAAGGAAACGTCTTCCAATAAAAGCCAGACAGAGGCATTCTCAGAAACTTGTTTGTGATGTGTGTACTCAACTAAAAGAGTTGAACCTTTCTATTGATAGAGCAGTTTTGAAACACTCTTTTTGTGGATTCTGCAAGAGGATATTTGGATTGCTTTGAGGATTTCGTTGGAAGCGGGAATTCGTATAAAAACTAGACAGCAGCATTCCCAGTAAATTTCTTTCGGATATTTCCATTCAACTCATAGAGATGAACATCGCCTTTCATAGAGCACGTTTGAAACACTCTTTTTGTAGTTTGTGGAAGTGGACATTTCGATCGCCTTGACGCCTACGGTGAAAAAGGAAATATCTTCCCATAAAAAATAGACAGAAGCATTCTCAGAAACTTGTTGGTGATATGTGTCCTCAACTAACAGAGTTGAACTTTGCCATTGATAGAGAGCAGTTTTGAAACACTCTTTTTGTGGAATCAGCAAGTGGATATTTGGATAGCTTGAAGGATTTCGTTGGAAGCGGGAATTCAAATAAAAGGTAGACAGCAGCATTCTCAGCAAATTTCTTTCTGATGTCTGCATTCAACTCATAGAGTTGAAGATTCCCTTTCATAGAGCAGGTTTGAAACACTCTTTCTGGAGTATCTGGATGTGGACATTTGGAGCGCTTTGATGCCTACGGTGAAAAAGTAAATATCTTCCCATAAAAACGACACAGAAGGATTCTCAGAAACAAGTTTGTGATGTGTGTACTCAGCTAACAGAGTGGAACCTCTCTTTCGATGCAGCAGTTTGGAAACACTCTTTTTGTAGAAACTGTAAGTGGATATTTGGATAGCTCTAATGATTTCGTTGGAAACGGGAATATCATCATCTAAAATCTAGACAGAAGCCCTCTCAGAAACTACTTTGTGATATCTGCATTCAAGTCACAGAGTTGAACATTCGCTTTCTTAGAGCACGTTTGAAACACTCTTTTTGTAGTGTCTGGAAGTGGACATTTGGAGCGCTTCGATGCCTTTGGTGAAAAAGGGAATGTCTTCCCATAAAAACTAGACAGAAGCATTCTCAGAAACTTCTTTGTGATGTGTGTACCCAGCTAAAGGAGTTGAACGTTTCTATTGATAGAGCAGTTTTGAAACACTCTTTTTGTGGAAAATGCAAGTGGATATTTGAATAGCTTGGAGGATTTCGTTGGAAGCGGGAATTCAAATAAAAGGTAGACAGCAGCATTCTCAGAAATTACTTTCTGATGTCTGCATTCAACTCATAGAGTTGAAGATTCCCTTTCATAGAGCAGGTTTGAAACACTCTTTCTGTAGTATCTGGATGTGGACATTTGGAGCGCTTTGATACCTACGGTGAGAAAGTAAATATCTTCCCATAAAAACTAGACAGAAGGATTCTGAGAGACAAGTTTGTGATGTGTGTACTCAGCTAACAGAGTGGAACCTTTCTTTTTACAGAGCAGCTTTGAAACTCTATTTTTGTGGATTCTGCAAATGGATATTTAGATTGCTTTAATGATATCGTTGGAAAAGGGAATATCGTCATACAAAATCTGGACAGAAGCATTCTCACAAACTTCTTTGTGATGTGTGTCCTCAACTAACAGGGTTGAACCTTTCTTTTGATGCAGCAGTTTGGAAACACTCTTTTTGTAGAAACTGTAAGTGGATATTTGGATAGCTCTAACGATTTCGTTGGAAACGGGAATATCATCATCTAAAATCTAGACAGAAGCACTATTAGAAACTACTTGGTGATATCTGCATTCAAGTCAAAGAGTTGAACATTCCCTTACTTTGAGCACGTTTGAAACACTCTTTTGGAAGAATCTGGAAGTGGACATTTGGAGCGCTTTGATGCCTTTGGTGAAAAGGAAACGTCTTCCAATAAAAGCCAGACAGAAGCATTCTCAGAAACTTGTTTGTGATGTGTGTACTCAACTAAAAGAGTTGAACCTTTGTATTGATAGAGCAGTTTTGAAACTCTCTTATGTGGATTCTGCAAGTGGATATTTGGATTGCTTTGAGGATTTCGTTGGAAGCGGGAATTCGTATAAAAACTAGACAGCAGCATTCCCAGAAATTACTTTCGGATATTTCCTTTCAACTCATAGAGATGAACATGGCCTTTCATAGAGCAGGTTTGAAACACTCTTTTTGTAGTTTGTGGAAGTGGACATTTCGATCGCCTTTACGCCTACGCTGAAAAAGGAATTATCTTCCCATAAAAAATAGACAGAATTCTCAGAAACTTGTTTGTGATGTGTATCCTCAACTGACAGAGTTGTACCTTTCTATTGATAGAGTAGTTTTGAAACACTCTTTTTGTGGAATCTGCAAGTGAATATTTGGATAGCTTGGAGGATTTCGTTGGAAGCGGGAATTCAAATGAAAGGTAGACAGCAGCATTCTCAGAAATTTCTTTCTGATGTCTGCATTCAACTCATAGAGTTGAACATTCCCTTTCATAGAGCAGATTTGAAACACTCTTTCTGGAGTATCTGGATGTGGACATTTGGAGCGCTTTGATGCCTACGGTGAAAAAGTAAATATCTTCCCATAAAAACGAGACAGAAGGATTCTGAGAAACAAGTTTGTGATGTGTGTACTCAGCTAACAGAGTGGAACCTCTGTTTTGATGCAGCAGTTTGGAAACACTCTTTTTGTAGAAACTGTAAGTGGATATTTGGATAGCTCTAACGATTTTTTTGGAAACGGGAATATCATCATCTAAAATCTAGACAGAAGCCCTTTCAGAAACTACTTTGTGATATCTGCCTTCAAGTCACAGAGTTGAACATTCGCTTTCTTAGAGCACGTTTGAAACACTCTTTTTGTAGTGTCTGGAAGTGGACATTTGGAGCGCTTTGATGCCTTTGGTGAAAAAGGGAATGTCTTCCCATAAAAACTAGACAGAAGCATTCTCAGAAACTTGTTTTTGATGTGTGTACCCAGCGAAAAGAGTTGAACATTTCTATTGATAGAGCAGTTTTGAAACACTCTTTTTGTGGAATCTGCAAGTGGATATTTGGATAGCTTGGAGGTTTTCGTTGGAAGCGGGAATTCAAATAAAAGGTAGACAGCAGCATTCTCAGAAATTTCTTTCTGATGTCTGCATTCAACTCATAGAGTTGAAGATTCCCTTTCATAGAGCAGGTTTGAAACACTCTTTCTGGAGTATCTGGATGTGGACATTTGGAGCGCTTTGATGCCTACGGTGAAAATGTAAATATCTTCCCATAAAAACGAGACAGAAGGATTCTCAGAAACAAGTTTGTGATGTGTGAACTCAGCTAACAGAGTGGATCCTTTCTTTTTACAGAGCAGCTTTGAAACTCTATTTCTGTGGATTCTGCAAATTGATATTTGGGTTGATTTAACGACATCGTTGGAAAAGGGAATATCTTCATACAAAATCTAGACAGAAGCTTTCTCAGAAACTTCTTTGTGATGTGTGTCCACAACTAACAGAGTTGAAACTTTCTTTTGATGCAGCAGTTTGGAAACACTCTTTTTGTAGAAACTGTAAGTGGATATTTGGATAGGTCTAACGATATCGTTGGAAACGGGAATATCTTCATCTAAAGTATACACAGAAGCACTATTAGAAACTACTTGGTGATATCTGCATTCAAGTCACAGAGTTGAACATTCCCTTACTTTGAGCACGTTTCAAACACTCTTTTGGAAGAATCTTTAAGTGGACATTTGGAGCGCTTTGATGCCTTTGGTGAAAAGGAAACGCCTTCCAATAAAAGCCAGACAGAAGCATTCTCAGAAACCTGTTCGTGATGTGTGTACTCAACTAAAAGAGTTGAACCTTTCTATTGATAGAGCAGTTTTGAAACACTCTTTTTGTGGATTCTGCAAGTGGATATTTGGATTGATTTGAGGATTTCGTTGGAAGCGGGAATTCATATAAAAACTAGACAGCAGCATTCCCAGAAATTTCTTTCTCATATTTCCATTCAACTCATAGAGATGAACATGGCCTTTCATAGAGCAGGTTTGAAACACTCTTTTTGTAGTTTGTGGAAGTGGACATTTCGATCGCCTTGACGCCTACGGTGAAAAGAAATATCTTCCCATAAAAAATAGACAGAATTCTCAGAAACTTGTTTGTGATGTGTGTCCTCAACTGACAGAGTTGTACCTTTCTATTGATAGAGTAGTTTTGAAACACTCTTTTTGTGGAATCTGCAAGTGAATATTTGGATAGCTTGGAGGATTTCGTTGGAAGCGGGAATTCAAATGAAAGGAAGACAGCAGCATTCTCAGAAATTTCTTTCTGATGTCTTGAATTCAACTCATAGAGTTGAAGATTCCCTTTCATAGAGCAGGTTTGAAACACTCTTTCTGGAGTATCTGGATGTGGACATTTGGAGCGCTTTGATGCCTACGGTGAAAAAGTAAATATCTTCCCAGAAAAACGAGACAGAAGGATTCTCAGAAACAAGTTTGTGATGTGTGTACTCAGCTAACAGAGTGGAACCTTTCTTTTTACAGAGCAGCTTTGAAACTCTATTTTTGTGGATTCTGCAAATTGGTATTTAGATTGCTTTAACGATATCGTTGGAAAAGGGAATATCGTCATACAAAATCTAGACAGAAGCATTCTCACAAACTTCTTTGTGATGTGTGTCCTCAACTAATAGAGTTGAACCTTTCTTTTGATGCAGCAGTTTGGAAACAACCTTTTGGTAGAAACTGTAACTGGATATTTGGATAGCTCTAACGATTTCTTTGGAAACGGGAATATCATCATCTAAAATCTAGACAGAAGCACCATTAGAAACTACTTGGTGATATCTGCATTCAAGTCACAGAGTTGAACATTCCCTTACTTTGAGCACGTTTGAAACACTCTTTTGGAAGAATCTGGAAGTGGACATTTGTAACGCTTTGATGCCTTTGGTGAAAAGGAAACGTCTTCCAATAAAAGCCAGACAGAAGCATTCTCAGAAACTTGTTTGTGATGTGAGCACTCAACTAAAAGAGTTGAACCTTTCTATTGATAGAGCAGTTTTGAAACACTCTTTTTGTGGATTCTGCAAGTGGATATTTGGATTGCTTTGAGGATTTCGTTGGAAGCGGGAATTCGTATAAACACTAGACAGCAGCATTCCCAGAAATTTCTTTCGGATATTTCCATTCAACTCATAGAGATGAACATTGCCTTTCATAGAGCAGGTTTGAAACACTCTTTTTGTAGTTTGTGGAAGTGGACATTTCGATCGCCTTGACGTCTACGGTGAAAAAGGAAATATCTTCCCATAAAAAATAGACAGAAGAATTCTCAGAAACTTGTTTGTGATGTGTATCCTCAACTGACAGAGTTGAACCTTGCCATTGATAGAGCAGTTTAGAAACACTCTTTTTGTGGAATCTGCAAGTGGATATTTGGATAGCTTGGAGGATTTCGTTGGATGCGGGAATTCAAATGAAAGGTTGACAGCAGCATTCTCAGAAATTACTTTCTGATGTCTGCATTCAACTCATAGAGTTGAAGATTCCCTTTCATAGAGCAGGTTTGAAACACTCTTTCTGTAGTATCTGGATGTGGACATTTGGAGCGCTTTGATACCTACAGTGAAAAAGTAAATATCTTCCCATAAAAACTAGACAGAAGGATTCTCAGAAACAAGTTTGTGATGTGTGTACTCAGCTAACAGAGTGGAACCTCTCTTTTGATGCAGCAGTTTGGAAACACTCTTTTTGTAGAAACTGTAAGTGGATATTTGGATAGCTCTAATGATTTCGTTGGAAATGGGAATATCATCATCTAAAATCTAGACAGAAGCCCTCTCAGAAACTACTTTGTGATATCTGCATTGAAGTCACAGAGTTGAACATTCGGTTTCTTAGAGCACGTTTGAAACAATCTTTTTGTAGTGTCTGGAAGTGGACATTTGGAGCGCTTTGATGCCTTTGGTGAAAAAGGGAATGTCTTCCCATAAAAACTAGACAGAAGCTTTCTCAGAAACTTGTTTGTGATGTGTGTACCCAGCGAAAGGAGTTGAACATTTCTATTGATAGAGCAGTTTTGAAACACTCTTTTTGTGGAATCTGCAAGTGGATATTTGGGTAGCTTGGAGGTTTTTGTTGGAAGCGGGAATTCAAATAAAAGGTAGACAGCAGCATTCTCAGAAATTTCTTTCTGATGTCTGCATTCAACTCATAGAGTTGAAGATTCCCTTTCATAGAGCAGGTTTGAAACACTCTTTCTGGAGTATCTGGATGTGGACATTTGGCGCGCTTTGATGCCTGCGGTGAAAAAGTAAATATCTTCCCATAAAAACGAGACAGAAGGATTCTCAGAAACAAGTTTGTGATGTGTGTACTCAGCTAACAGAGTGGAACCTTTCTTTTTACAGAGCAGCTTTGAAACTCTATTTTTGTGGATTCTGCAAATTGGTATTTAGATTGCTTTAACCGATATCGTTGGAAAAGGGAATATCGTCATACAAAATCTAGACAGAAGCATTCTCACAAACTTCTTTGTGATGTGTGTCCTCAACTAACAGAGTTGAACCTTTCTTTTGATGCAGCAGTTTGGAAACACCCTTTTTGTAGAAACTGTAACTGGATATTTGGATAGCTCTAACGATTTCGTTGGAAACGGGAATATCATCATCTAAAATCTAGAGAGAAGCACTATTAGAAACTACTTGGTGATATCTGCATTCAAGTCACAGAGTTGAACATTCCCTTACTTTGAGCACGTTTGAAACACTCTTTTGGAAGAATCTGGAAGTGGACATTTGGAGAGCTTTGATGCCTTTGGTGAAAAGGAAACGTCTTCCAATAAAAGCCAGACAGAAGCATTCTCAGAAACTTGTTTGTGATGTGTGTACTCAACTAAAAGAGTTGAACCTTTCTATTGATAGAGCAGTTTTAAAACACTCTTTTTGTGGATTCTGCAAGTGGATATTTGGATTGCTTTGAGGATTTCGTTGGAAGCGGGAATTCGTATAAAAACTAGACAGCAGCATTCCCAGAAATTTCTTTCGGATATTTCCATTCGACTCATAGAGATGAACATGGCCTTTCATACAGCAGGTTTGAAACACTCTTTTTGTAGTTTGTGGAAGTGGACATTTCGATCGCCTTGACGCCTACGGTGAAAAAGGAAATATCTTCCCATAAAAAATAGACAGAAGATTTCTCAGAAACTTATTTGTGATGTGTATCCTCAACTGACAGAGTTGAACCTTGCCATTGATAGAGCAGTTTAGAAACCCTCTGTTTGTGGACTCTGCAAGTGGATATTTGGATAGCCTGGAGGATTTCGTTGGAAGCGGGAATTCAAATGAAAGGTAGACAGCAGCATTCTCAGAAATTTCTTTCTGATGTCTGCATTCAACTCATAGAGTTGAACATTCCCTTTCAGAGAGCAGGTTTGAAACACTCTTTCTGGAGTATCTGGATGTGGACATTTGGAGCGCTTTGATGCCTACGGTGAAAAAGTAAATATCTTCCCATAAAAACGAGACAGAAGGATTCTGAGAAACAAGTTTGTGATGTGTGTACTCAGCTAACAGAGTGGAACCTCTCTTTTGATGCAGCAGTTTGGAAACACTCTTTTTGTAGAAACTGTAAGTGGATATTTGGATAGCTCTAATGATTTCGTTGGAAACGGGAATATCATCATCTAAAATCTACACAGAAGCCCTCTCAGAAACTACTTTGTGATATCTGCATTCAAGTCACAGAGTTGAACATTCGCTTTCTTAGAGCACGTTTGAAACACTCTTTTTGTAGTGTCTGGAAGTGGACATTTGGCGCACTTTGATGCCTTTGGTGAAAAAGGGAATGTCTTCCCATAAAAACTAGACAGATAAGCATTCTCAGAAACTTGTTTGTGATGTGTGTACCCAGCTAAAGGAGTTGAACATTTCTATTGATAGAGCAGTTTTGATACACTCTTTTTGTGGAAACTGCAAGTGGATATTTGGATAGCTTGGAGGATTTCGTTGGAAGCGGGAATTCAAATAAAAGGTAGACAGCAGGATTCTGAGAAACAAGTTTGTGATGTGTGTACTCAGCTAACAGAGTGGAACCTTTCTTTTTACAGAGCAGCTTTGAAACTCTATTTTTGTGGATTCTGCAAATGGATATTTAGATTGCTTTAACGATATCGCTGGAAAAGGGAATATGGTCATACAAAATACTAGACAGAAAGCATTCTCACAAACTTCTTTGTGATGTGTGTCCTCAACTAACAGAGTTGAACCTTTCTTTTGATGCAGCAGTTTGGAAACACTCTTTTTGCAGAAACTGTAAGTGGATATTTGGATAGCTCTAACGATTTCGTTGGAAACGGGAATATCATCATCTAAAATCTAGACAGAAGCACTATTAGAAACTACTTGGTGATATCTGCATTCAAGTCAAAGAGTTGAACATTCCCTTACTTTAAGCACGTTTGAAACACTCTTTTGGAAGAATCTGGAAGTGGACATTTGGAGCGCTTTGATGCCTTTGGTGAAAAGGAAACGTCTTCCAATAAAAGCCAGACAGAAGCATTCTCAGAAACTTGTTTGTGATGTGTGTACCCAGCCAAAGGAGTTGAACATTTCTATTGATAGAGCAGTTTTGAAACACTCTTTTTGTGGATTCTGCAAGTGGATATTTGGATTGCTTTGAAGATTTCGTTGGAAGCGGGAATTCGTATAAACACTAGACAGCAGCATTCCCAGAAATTTCTTTCGGATATTTCCATTCAACTCATAGAGATGAACATGGCCTTTCATAGAGCAGGTTTGAAACACTCTTTTTGTAGTTTGTGGAAGTGGACATTTCGATCGCCTTGACGCCTATGGTGAAAAAGGAAATATCTTCCCATAAAAAATAGACAGAATTCTCAGAAACTTGTTTGTGATGTGTGTCCTCAACTGACAGAGTTGTACCTTTCTATTGATAGAGTAGTTTTGAAACACTCTTTTTGTGGAATCTGCAAGTGAATATTTGGATAGCTTGGACGATTTCGTTGGAAGCGGGAATTCAAATGAAAGGTAGACAGCAGCATTCTCAGAAATTTCTTTCTGATGTCTGCATTCAACTCATAGAGTTGAAGATTCCCTTTCATAGAGCAGGTTTGAAACACTCTTTCTGGAGTATCTGGATGTGGACATTTGGAGCGCTTTGATGCCTACGGTGAGAAAGTAAATATCTTCCCATAAAAACGAGACAGAAGGATTCTGAGAAACAAGTTTGTGATGTGTGTACTCAGCTAACAGAGTGGAACCTCTCTTTGGATGCAGCAGTTTAGAAACACTCTTTTTGTAGAAACTGTAAGTGGATATTTGGATAGCTCTAATGATTTCGTTGGAAACGGGAATATCATCATCTAAAATCTAGACAGAAGCACTCTCAGAAACTACTTTGTGATATCTGCATTCAAGTCACAGAGTTGAACATTCGCTTTCTTAGAGCACGTTTGAAACACTCTTTTTGTAGTGTCTGGAAGTGGACATTTGGAGCGCTTTGATTCCTTTGGTGAAAAAGGGAATGTCTACCCATAAAAACTAAACAGAAGAATTCTCAGAAACTTGTTTGTGATGTGTATCCTCAACTGACAGAGTTGAACCTTGCCATTGATAGAACAGCTTTGAAACACTCTTTTTGTGGATTCTGCAAGTGGATATTTGGATAGCCTGGAGGATTTCGTTGGAAGCGGGAATTCAAATAAAAGGTAGACAGCAGCATTCTCAGAAATTTCTTTGTGATGTTTGCATTCAACATATAGAGTTGAACATTCCCTTTCATAGAGCAGGTTTGAAACACTCTTTCTGTACTATCTGGAAATGGACATTTGGAACGCTTTGATGCCTACGGTGAAAAAGTAAATATCTTCCCATAAAAACTAGACAGAAGGATTCTCAGAAACAAGTTTGTGATGTGTGTACTCAGCTAACAGAGTGGAACCTTTCTTTTTACAGAGCAGCTTTGAAACTCTATTTTTGTGGATTCTTCAAATTGATATTTAGATTGCTTTAACGATATCGTTGGAAAAGGGAATATCGTCATACAAAATCTAGACAGAAGCATTCTCACAAACTTCTTTGTGATGTGTGTCCTCAACTAACAGAGTTGAACCATTCTTTTGATGCAGCAGTTTGGAAACACCCTTTTGGTAGAAACTGTAACTGGATATTTGGATAGCTCTAACGATTTCGTTGGAAACGGGAATATCATCATCTAAAATCTAGAGAGAAACACTATTAGAAACTGCTTGGTGATATCTGCATTCAACTCACAGAATTGAACATTCCCTTACTTTGAGCACGTTTGAAACACTCTTTTGGAAGAATCTGGAAGTGGACATTTGGAGCGCTTTGATGCCTTTGGTGAAAAGGAAACGTCTTCCAATAAAAGCCAGACAGAAGCTTTCTCAGAAACTTGTTTGTGATGTGTGTACTCAACTAAAAGAGTTGAACCTTTCTATTGATAGAGCAGTTTTGAAACACTCTTTTTGTGGAATCTGCAAGTGGATATTTGGATTGCTTTGAGGATTTCGTTGGAAGCGGGAATTCATAAAAAAGTAGACAGCAGAATTCTCAGAAACTTGTTTGTGATGTGTATCCTCAACTGACAGAGTTGAACCTTGCCATTGATAGAGCAGTTTTGAAACACTCTTTTTGTGGAATCTGCAAGTGGATATTTGGATAGCCTGGAGGATTTCGTTGGAAGCGGGAATTCAAATGAAAGGTAGACAGCAGAAATCTCAGAAACTTGTTTGTGATGTGTATCCTCAACTGACAGAGTTGAACCTTGCCATTGATAGAGCAGTTTTGAAACCCTCTTTTTGTGGAATCTGCAAGTAGATATTTGGAAAGCCTGGAGGATTTCGTTGGAAGCGGGAATTCAAATAAAAGGTAGACAGCAGCATTCTCAGAAATTTCTTTGTGATGTTTGCATTCAACTCATAGAGTTGAACATTCCCTTTCACAGAGCAGGTTTGAAACACTCTTTCTGTACTATCTGGATGTGGACATTTGGAACGCTTTGATGCCTACGGTGAAAAAGTAAATATCTTCCCATAAAAACTAGACAGAAGGATTCTCAGAAACAAGTTTGTGATGTGTGTACTCAGCTAACAGAGTGGAACCTCTCTTTTGACGCAGCAGTTTGGAAACACTCTTTTTGTAGAAACTGTAAGTGGATATTTGGATAGCTCTAATGATTTCTTTGGAAACGGGAATATCATCATCTAAAATCTAGACAGAAGCACTCTCAGAAACTACTTTGTGATATCTGCATTCAAGTCACAGAGTTGAACATTCGCTTTCTTACAGCACTTTTGAAACACTCTTTTTGTAGTATCTGGAAGTGGACATTTGGAGCTCTTTGATGCCTTTGGCGAAAAAGGAAATGTCTTCCCATAAAAACTAGACAGAAGCATTCTCAGAAACTTGTTTGTGATGTGTGTACCCAGCTAAAGGAGTTGAACATTTCTATTGATAGAGCAGTTTTGAAACACTCTTTTTGTGGAAAATGCAAGTGGATATTTGGATAGCTTGGAGGATTTCGTTGGAAGCTTGAATTCAAATAAAAGGTAGACAGCAGCATTCTCAGAAATTTCTTTCTGATGTCTGCATTCAACTCATAGAGTTGAAGATTCCCTTTCATAGAGCAGGTTTGAAACACTCTTTCTGGAGTATCTGGATGTGGACATTTGGAGCGCTTTGATGCCTACGGTGAAAAAGTAAATATCCTCCCATAAAAACGAGACAGAAGGATTCTCAGAAACAAGTTTGTGATGTGTGTACTCAGCTAACAGAGTGGAACCTTTCTTTTTACAGAGCAGCTTTGAAACTCTATTTTTGTGGATTCTGCAAACTGATATTTAGATTGCTTTAACGATATCGTTGGAAAAGGGAATATCGTCATACAAAATCTGGACAGAAGCATTCCCACAAACTTCTTTGTGATGTGTGTCCTCAACTAACAGAGTTGAACCTTTCTTTTGATGCAGCAGTTTGGAAACACTCTTTTTGTAGAAACTGTAAGTGGATATTTGGATAGCTCTAACGATTTCGTTGGAAACGGGAATATCATCATCTAAAATCTAGACAGAAGCACTATTAGAAACTACTTGGTGATATCTGCATTCAAGTCAAAGAGTTGAACATTCCCTTACTTTGAGCACGTTTGAAACACTCTTTTAGAAGAATCTGGAAGTGGACATTTGGAGCGCTTTGATGCCTTTGGTGAAAAGGAAACGTCTTCCAATAAAAGCCAGACAGAAGCATTCTCAGAAACTTGTATGTGATGTGTGTACTCAACTAAAAGAGTTGAACCTTTCTATTGATAGAGCAGTTTTGAAACACTCTTTTTGTGGAATCTGCAAGTGGATATTTGGATTGCTTTGAGGATTTCGTTGGAAGCGGGAATTCATAAAAAAGTAGACAGCAGCATTCCCAGAAATTTCTTTCGGATATTTCCATTCAACTCATAGAGATGAACATTGCCTTTCATAGAGCAGGTTTGAAACACTCTTTTTGTAGTTTGTGGAAGTGGACATTTCGATCGCCCTGATGCCTATGGTGAAAAAGGAAATATCTTCCCATAAAAAATAGACAGAAGCATTCTCAGAAACTTGTTGGTGATATGTGTCCTCAACTAACAGAGTTGAACTGTGCCATTGATAGAGAGCAGTTTTGAAACACTCTTTTTGTGGAATCTGCAAGTGGATATTTGGATAGCTTGGAGGATTTCGTTGGAAGCGGGAATTCAAATAAAAGTTAGACAGCAGCATTCTCAGAAATTTCTTTCTGATGTCTGCATTCAACTCATAGAGTTGAAGATTCCCTTTCATAGAGCAGGTTTGAAACACTCTTTCTGGAGTATCTGGATGTGGACATTTGGAGCGCTTTGATGCCTACGGTGAGAAAGTAAATATCTTCCCATAAAAACGAGACAGAAGGATTCTGAGAAACAAGTTTGTGATGTGTGTACTCAGCTAACAGAGTGGAACCTTTCTTTTTACAGAGCAGTTTTGAAACTCTATTTTTGTGGATTCTGCAAATTGATATTTAGATTGCTTTAACGATATCGTTGGAAAAGGGAATATCGTCATACAAAATCTAGACAGAAAGCATTCTCACAAACTTCTTTGTGATGTGTGTCCTCAACTAACAGAGTTGAACTTTTCTTTTGATGCAGCAGTTTGGAAACACTCTTTTTGTAGAAACTGTAAGTGGATATTTGGATAGCTCTAACGATTTCGTTGGAAACGGGAATATCATCATCTAAAATCTAGACAGAAGCACTATTAGAAACTACTTGGTGATATCTGCATTCAAGTCACGGAGTTGAACATTCCCTTACTTTGAGCACGTTTGAAACACTCTTTTGGAAGAATCTGGAAGTGGACATTTGGAGCGCTTTGATGCCTTTGGTGAAAAGCAAACCTCTTCCAACAAAAGCCAGACAGAAGCATTCTCAGAAACTTGTTCGTGATGTGTGTACTCAACTAAAAGATTTGAACCTTTCTATTGATAGAGCAGTTTTGAAACACTCTTTTTGTGGATTCTGCAAGTGGATATTTGGATTGCTTTGAGGATTTCATTGGAAGCGGGAATTCGTATAAAAACTAGACAGCAGCATTCACAGAAATTTCTTTCGGATATTTCCATTCAACTCATAGAGATGAACATGGCCTTTCATAGGGCAGGTTTGAAACACTCTTTTTGTAGTTTGTGGAAGTGGACATTTCGATCGCCTTGACGCCTACGGTGAAAAAGGAAATATCTTCCCATAAAAAATAGACAGAAGCATTCTCAGAAACTTGTTGGTGATATGTGTCCTCAACTAACAGAGTTGAACTTTGCCATTGATAGAGAGCAGTTTTGAAACACTCTTTTTGTGGAATCTGCAAGTGGATATTTGGATAGCTTGGAGGATTTCGTTGCAAGCGGGAATTCAAATAAAAGGTAGACAGCAAGGATTCTGAGAAACAAGTTTGTGATGTGTGTACTCAGCTAACAGAGTGGAACCTCTGTTTTGATGCAGCAGTTTGGAAACACTCTTTTTGTAGAAACTGTAAGTGGATATTTGGATAGCTCTAATGATTTCGTTGGAAACGGGAATATCATCATCTAAAATCTAGACAGAAGCACTCTCAGAAACTACTTTGTGATATCTGCATTCAAGTCACAGACTTGAACATTCGCTTTCTTAGAGCACGTTTGAAACACTCTTTTTGTAGTGTCTGGAAGTGGACATTTGGAGCGCTTTGATGTCTTTGGTGAAAAAGGGAATGTCTTCCCATAAAAACTAGACAGAAGCATTCTCAGAGACTTGTTTGTGATGTGTGTACCCAGCCAAAGGAGTTGAACATTTCTATTGATAGAGCAGTTTTGAAACACTCTTGTTGTGGAAAATGCAGGTGGATATTTGGATAGCTTGGAGGATTTCGTTGGAAGCGGGAATTCAAATAAAAGGTAGACAGCAGCATTCTCAGAAACTACTTTCTGATGTCTGCATTCAACTCATAGAGTTGAAGATTCCCTTTCATAGAGCAGGTTTGAAACACTCTTTCTGTAGAATCTGGATGTGGACATTTGGAGCGCTTTGATACCTACGGTGAAAAAGTAAATATCTTCCCATAAAAACTAGACAGAAGGATTCTGAGAAACAAGTTTGTGATGTGTGTACTCAGCTAACAGAGTGGAACCTTTCTTTTTACAGAGCAGCTTTGAAACTCTATTTTTGTAGATTCTGCAAATTGGTATTTAGATTGCTTTAACGATATCGTTGGAAAAGGGAATATCGTCATACAAAATCTAGACAGAAGCATTCTCACAAACTTCTTTGTGATGTGTGTCCTCAACTAACAGAGTTGAACCTTTCTTTTGATGCAGCAATTTGGAAACACCCTTTTGGTAGGAACTGTAACTGGATATTTGGATAGCTCTAACGATTTCGTTGGAAACGGGAATATCATCATCTAAAATCTAGACAGAAGCACTATTAGAAACTACATGGTGATATCTGCATTCAAGTCACAGAGTAGAACATTCCCTTACTTCGAGCACGTTTGAAACACTCTTTTGGAAGAATCTGGAAGTGGACATTTGGAGCGCTTTGATGCCTTTGGTGAAAAGGAAACGTCTTCCAATAAAAGCCAGACAGAAGCATTCTGAGAAACTTGTTCGTGATGTGTGTACTCAACTAAAAGAGTTGAACCTTTCTATTGATATAGCAGTTTTGAAACACTCTTTTTGTGGATTCTGCAAGTGGATATTTGGATTGCTTTGAGGATTTCGTTGGAAGCGGGAATTCATATAAACACTAGACAGCAGCATTCCCAGAAATTACTTTCGGATATTTCCATTCAACTCATAGAGATGAACATGGCCTTTCATAGAGCAGGTTTGAAACACTCTTTTTGTAGTTTGTGGAAGTGGACATTTCGATCGCCTTCACGCCTACGGTGAAAAAGGAAATATCTTCCCATAAAAAATAGACAGAAAGCATTCTCAGAAACTTGTTGGTGATATGTGTCCTCAACTAACAGAGTTGAACTTTGCCATTGATAGAGAGCAGTTTTGAAACACTCTTTTTGTGGAATCTGCAAGTGGATATTTGGATAGCTTGGAGGATTTCGTTGGAAGCGGGAATTCAAATAAAAGGTAGACAGAGCATTCTCAGAAATTTCTTTCTGATGTCTGCATTCAACTCATAGAGTTGAAGATTCCCTTTCATAGAGCAGGTTTGAAACACTCTTTCTGTACTATCTGGATGTGGACATTTGGAGCGCTTTGACGCCTACGGTGAAAAAGTAAATATCTTCCCATAAAAAAGAGACAGAAGGATTCTGAGAAACAAGTTTGTGATGTGTGTACTCAGCTAACAAAGTGGAACCTCTCTTTTGATGCAGCAGTTTGGAAACACTCTTTTTGTAGAAACTGTAAGTGGATATTTGGATAGCTCTAATGATTTCGTTGGAAACGGGAATATCATCATCTAAAATCTAGACAGAAGCCCTCTCAGAAACTACTTTGTGATATCTGCATTCAAGTCACAGAGTTGAACATTCGCTTTCTTAGAGCACGTTTGAAACACTCTTTTTGTAGTTTCTGGAAGTGGACATTTGGAGCGCTTTGATTCCTTTGGTGAAAAAGGGAATGTCTACCCATAAAAACTAGACAGAAGCATTCTCAGAAACTTGTTTGTGATGTGTATACCCAGCTAAAGGAGTTGAACATTTCTATTGATAGAGCAGTTTTGAAACACTCTTTTTGTGGAAAATGCAAGGGGATATTTGGATAGCTTGGAGGATTTCGTTGGAAGCGGGAATTCAAATAAAAGGTAGACAGCAGCATTCTCAGAAATTTCTTTGTGATGTCTGCATTCAACTCATAGAGTTGAAGATTCCCTTTCATAGAGCAGGTTTGAAACAGTCTTTCTGGAGTATCTGGATGTGGACATTTGGAGCGCTTTGATGCCTACGGTGAAAAAGTAAATATCTTCCCATAAAAACGAGACAGAAAGATTCTCAGAAACAAGTTTGGGATGTGTGAACTCAGCTAACAGAGTGGATCCTTTCTTTTTACAGAGCAGCTTTGAAACTCTATTTCTGTGGATTCTGCAAATTGATATTTGGGTTGATTTAACGACATCGTTGGAAAAGGGAATATCTTCATACAAAATCTAGACAGAAGCATTCTCACAAACTTCTTTGTGACGTGTGTCCTCAACTAACAGAGTTGAACCTTTCTTTTGATGCAGCAATTTGGAAACACCCTTTTGGTAGAAACTGTAACTGGATATTTGGATAGCTGCTAGCGATTTCGTTGGAAACGGGAATATCATCATCTAAAATCTAGACAGAAGCACTATTAGAAACTACTTGGTGATATCTGCATTCAAGTCACAGAGTAGAACATTCCCTTACTTCGAGCACGTTTGAAACACTCTTTTGGAAGAATCTGGAAGTGGACATTTGGAGCGCTTTGATGCCTTTGGTGAAAAGGAAACGTCTTCCAATAAAAGCCAGACAGAAGCATTCTCAGAAACTTGTTTGTGATGTGTGTACTCAACTAAAAGAGTTGAACCTTTCTATTGATAGAGCAGTTTTGAAACACTCTTTTTGTGGATTCTGCAAGTGGATATTTGGATTGCTTTGAGGATTTCGTTGGAAGCGGGAATTCATATAAAATCTAGACAGCAGCATTCCCAGAAATTTCTTTCGGATATTTCCATTCAACTCATAGAGATGAACATCGCCTTTCATAGAGCAGGTTTGAAACACTCTTTTTGTAGTTTGTGGAAGTGGACATTTCGATCGCCTTGACGCCTACGGTGAAAAAGGAAATATCTTCCCATAAAAAATAGACAGAATTCTCAGAAACTTGTTTGTGATGTGTGTCCTCAACTGACAGAGTTGTACCTTTCTATTGATAGAGTAGTTTTGAAACACTCTTTTTGTGGAATCTGCAAGTGAATATTTGGATAGCTTGGAGGATTTCGTTGGAAGCGGGAATTCAAATGAAAGGTAGAAAGCAGCATTCTCAGAAATTTCTTTCTGATGTCTGCATTCAACTCATAGAGTTGAAGATTCCCTTTCATAGAGCAGGTTTGAAACACTCTTTCTGAAGTATCTGGATGTGGACATTTGGAGCGCTTTGATGCCTACGGTGAAAAAGTAAATATCTTCCCATAAAAACGAGACAGAAGGATTCTCAGAAACAAGTTTGTGATGTGTGTACTCAGCTAACAGAGTGGAACCTCTCTTTTGATGCAGCAGTTTGGAAACACTCTTTTTGTAGAAACTGTAAGTGGATATTTGGATAGCTCTAATGATTTCGTTGGAAACGGGAATATCATCATATAAAATCTAGAGAGAAGCACTCTCCAGAAACTACTTTGTGATATCTGCATTCAAGTCACAGAGTTGAACATTCGCTTTCTTAGAGCACGTTTGAAACACTCTTTTTGTAGTGTCTGGAAGTGGACATTTGGAGCGCTTTGATGCCTTTGGTGAAAAAGGGAATGTCTTCCCATAAAAACTAGACAGAAGCATTCTCAGAAACTTGTTTGTGATGTGTGTACCCAGCCAAAGGAGTTGAACATTTCTATTAATAGAGCAGTTTTGAAACACTCTTTTTGTGGAAAATGCAGGTGGATATTTGGATAGCTTGGAGGATTTCGTTGGAAGCGGGAATTCAAATAAAAGTTAGACAGCAGCATTCTCAGAAATTACTTTCTGATGTCTGCATTCAACTCATAGAGTTGAAGATTCCCTTTCATAGAGCAGGTTTGAAACACTCTTTCTGTAGTATCTGGATGTGGACATTTGGAGCGCTTTGATACCTACAGTGAAAAAGTAAATATCTTCCCATAAAAACTAGACAGAAGGATTCTCAGAAACAAGTTTGTGATGTGTGTACTCAGCTAACAGAGTGGAACCTTTCTTTTTACAGAGCAGCTATGAAACTCTATTTTTGTGGATTCTGCAAATTGATATTTAGATTGCTTTAACGATATCGTTGGAAAAGGGAATATGGTCATACAAAATCTAGACAGAAGCATTCTCACAAACTACTTTGTGACGTGTGTCTTCAACTAACAGAGTTGAACCTTTCTTTTGATGCAGCAGTTTGGAAACACTCTTTTTGTAGAAACTGTAAGTGGATATTTGGATAGCTCTAACGATTTCGTTGGAAACGGGAATATCATCATCTAAAATCTAGACAGAAGCACTATTAGAAACTACTTGGTGATATCTGCATTCAAGTCACAGAGTTGAACATTCCCTTACTTTGAGCACGTTTGAAACACTCTTTTGGAAGAATCTGGAAGTGGACATTTGGAGCGCTTTGATGCCTTTGGTGAAAAGGAAACGTCTTCCAATACAAGCCAGACAGAAGCATTCTCAGAAACTTGTTCGTGATGTGTGTACTCAACTAAAAGAGTTGAACCTTTCTATTGATAGAGCAGTTTTGAAACACTCTTTTTGTGGATTCTGCAAGTGGATATTTGGATTGCTTTGAGGATTTCGTTGGAAGCGGGAATTCGTATAAACACTAGACAGCAGCATTCCCAGAAATTTCTTTCGGATATTTCCATTCAACTCATAGAGATGAACATGGCCTTTCATAGAGCAGGTTTGAAACACTCATTTTGTAGTTTCTGGAAGTGGACATTTCGATCGCCTTGACGCCTACGGTGGAAAAGGAAATATCTTCCCATAAAAAATAGACAGAAGCATTCTCAGAAACTTGTTGGTGATATGTGTCCTCAACTAACAGAGTTGAACTTTGCCATTGATAGAGAGCAGTTTTGAAACACTCTTTTTGTGGAATCTGCAAGTTGATATTTGGATAGCTTGGAGGATTTCGTTGGAAGCGGGAATTCAAATAAAAGGTAGACAGCAGCATTCTCAGAAATTTCTTTGTGATGTTTGCATTCAACTCATAGAGTTGAACATTCCCTTTCATAGAGCAGGTTTGAAACAATCTTTCTGTACTATCTGGATGTGGACATTTGGAACGCTTTGATGCCTACGGTGAAAAAGTAAATATCTTCCCATAAAAGCTAGACAGAAGGATTCTGAGAAACAAGCTTGTGATGTGTGTACTCAGCTAACAGAGTGGAACCTCTCTTTTGATGCAGCAGTTTGGAAACACTCTTTTTGTAGAAACTGTAAGTGGATATTTGGATAGCTCTAATGATTTCGTTGGAAACGGGAATATCATCATCTAAAATCTAGACAGAAGCCCTCTCATAAACTACTTTGTGATATCTGCATTCAAGTCACAGAGTTGAACATTCGCTTTCTTAGAGCACGTTTGAAACACTCTTTTTGTAGTGTCTGGAAGTGGACATTTGGAGCGCTTTGATGCCTTTGGTGAAAAAGTGAATGTCTTCCCATAAAAACTAGACAGAATTCTCAGAAACTTGTTTGTGATGTGTGTCCTCAACTGACAGAGTTGTACCTTTCTATTGATAGAGTAGTTCTGAAACACTCTTTTTGTGGAATCTGCAAGTGAATATTTGGATAGCTTGGAGGATTTCGTTGGAAGCGGGAATTCAAATGAAAGGTAGACAGCAGCATTCTCAGAAATTACTTTCTGATGTCTGCATTCAACTCATAGAGTTGAGGATTCCCTTTCATAGAGCAGGTTTGAAACCCTCTTTCTGTAGTATCTGGATGTGGACATTTGGAGCGCTTTGATACCTACGGTGAAAAAGTAAATATCTTCCCATAAAAACTAGACAGAAGGATTCTCAGAAACAAGTTTGTGATGTGTGTACTCAGCTAACAGAGTGGATCCTTTCTTTTTACAGAGCAGCTTTGAAACTCTATTTCTGTGGATTCTGCAAATTGATATTTGGGTTGATTTAACGACATCGTTGGAAAAGGGAATATCTTCATACAAAATACAGACAGAAGCTTTCTCAGAAACTTCTTTGTGATGTGTGTCCTCAACTAACAGAGTTGAACCTTTCTTTTGATGCACTAGTTTGGAAACACACTTTCTGTAGAAACTGTAAGTGGATATTTGGGTAGGTCTAACGATATCGTTGGAAACGGGAATATCTTCATCTAAAGTATACACAGAAGCACTATTAGACACTGCTTGGTGATATCTGCATTCAAGTCACAGAGTTGAACATTCCCTTACTTTGAGCACGTTTGAAACACTCTTTTGGAAGAATCTGGAAGTGGACATTTGGAGCGCTTTGATGCCTTTGGTGAAAAGGAAACGTCTTCCAATAAAAGCCAGACAGAAGCATTCTCAGAAACTTGTTTGTGATGTGTGTACTCAACTAAAAGAGTTGAACCTTTCTATTGATAGAGCAGTTTTGAAACACTCTTTTTGTGGATTCTGCAAGTGGATATTTGGATTGCTTTGAGGATTTCGTGGAAGCGGGAATTCGTATAAAAACTAGACAGCAGCATTCCCAGAAATTTCTTTCGGATATTTCCATTCAACTCATAGAGATGAACATGGCCTTTCATAGAGCAGGTTTGAAACACTCTTTTGGTAGTTTGTGGAAGTGGACATTTTGATCGCCTTGACGCCTACGGTGAAAAAGGAAATATCTTCCCATAAAAAATAGACAGAAGCATTCTCAGAAACTTGTTGGTGATATGTGTCCTCAACTAACAGAGTTGAACTTTGCCATTGATAGAGAGCAGTTTTGAAACACTCTTTTTGTGGAATCTGCAAGTGGATATTTGGATAGCTTGGAGGATTTCTTTGGAAGCGGGAATTCAAATAAAAGGTAGACAGCAGCATTCTCAGAAATTTCTTTGTGATGTTTGCATTCAACTCATAGAGTTGAACATTCCCTTTAATAGAGCAGGTTTGAAACACTCTTTCTGTACTATGTGGATGTGGACATTTGGAGCGCTTTGACGCCTACGGTGAAAAAGGAAATGTCTTCCCATAAAAAATTGAAGAAGGATTCTGAGAAACAAGTATGTGATGTGTGTACTCAGCTAACAGAGTGGAACCTTTCTTTTTACAGAGCAGCTTTGAAACTCTATTTTTGTGGATTCTGCAAATGGATATTTAGATTGCTTTAACGATATCGTTGGAAAAGGGAATATCGTCATACAAAATCTAGACAGAAGCATTCTCACAAACTTCTTTGTGATGTGTGTCCTCAACTAATAGAGTTGAACCTTTCTTTTGATGCAGCAGTTTGGAAACACCCTTTTGGTAGGAACTGTAACTGGATATTTGGATAGCTCTAACGATTTCGTTGGAAACGGGAATATCATCATCTAAAATCTAGACAGAAGCACTATTAGAAACTACTTGGTGATATCTGCATTCAAGTCACAGAGTTGAACATTCCCTTACTTTGAGCACGTTTCAAACACTCTTTTGGAAGAATCTGGAAGTGGACATTTGGAGCGCTTTGATGATGCCTTTGGTGAAAAGGAATCGTCTTCCAATAAAAGCCAGACAGAAGCATTCTCAGAAACTTGTTCGTGATGTGTGTACTCAACTAAAAGATTTGAACCTTTCTATTGATAGAGCAGTTTTGAAACACTCTTTTTGTGGATTCTGCAAGTGGATATTTGGATTGCATTGAGGATTTCGTTGGAAGCGGGAATTCGTATAAAAACTGGACAGCAGCATTCCCAGAAATTTCTTTCGGATATTTCCATTCAACTCATAGAGATGAACATGGCCTTTCATAGAGCAGGTTTGAAACACTCTTTTTGTAGTTTGTGGAAGTGGACATTTCGATCGCCTTGACGCCAACGGTGAAAAAGGAAATATCTTCCCATAAAAAATAGACAGAAGCATTCTCAGAAACTTGTTGGTGATATGTGTCCTCAACTAACAGAGTTGAACTTTGCCATTGATAGAGAGCAGTTTTGAAACACTCTTTTTGTGGAATCTGCAAGTGGATATTTGGATAGCTTGGAGGATTTCGTTGGAAGCGGGAATTCAAATTAAAGGTAGACAGCAAGGATTCTGAGAAACAAGTTTGTGATGTGTGTACTCAGCTAACAGAGTGGAACCTCTGTTTTGATTCAGCAGTTTGGAAACACTCTTTTTGTAGAAACTGTAAGTGGATATTTGGATAGCTCTAATGATTTCGTTGGAAAAGGGAATATCATCATCTAAAATCTAGACAGAAGCACTCTCAGAAACTACTTTGTGATATCTGCATTCAAGTCACAGAGTTGAACATTCGCTTTCTTAGAGCACTTTTGAAACACTCTTTTTGTAGTATCTGGAAGTGGACATTTGGAGCTCTTTGATGCCTTTGGTGAAAAAGGAAATGTCTTCCCATAAAAACTAGGCAGAAGCATTCTCAGAAACTTGTTTGTGATGTGTGTACCCAGCGAAAGGAGTTGAACATTTCTATTGATAGAGCAGTTTTGAAACACTCTTTTTGTGGAATCTGCAAGTGGATATTTGGATAGCTTGGAGGTTTTCGTTGGAAGCAGGAATTCAAATAAAAGGTAGACAGCAGCATTCTCAGAAATTTCTTTCTGATGTCTGCATTCAACTCATAGAGTTGAAGATTCCCTTTCCTAGAGCAGGTTTGAAACACTCTTTCTGGAGTATCTGGATGTGGACATTTGGAGCGCTTGGATGCCTACGGTGAAAAAGTAAATATCTTCCCATAAAAACGAGACAGAAGGATTCTCAGAAACAAGTTTGTGATGTGTGTACTCAGCTAACAGAGTGGAACCTCTCTTTTGAAGCAGCAGTTTGGAAACACTCTTTTTGTAGAAACTGTAAGTGGATATTTGGATAGCTCTAATGATTTCGTTGGAAACGGGAATATCATCATCTAAAATCTAGACAGAAGCACTCTCAGAAACTACTTTGTGATATCTGCATTCAAGTCACAGAGTTGAACATTCGCTTTCTTAGAGCACTTTTGAAACACTCTTTTTGTCGTATCTGGAAGTGGACATTTGGAGCTCTTTGATGCCTTTGGTGAAAAAGGAGATGTCTTCCCATAAAAACTAGACAGAAGCTTTCTCAGAAACTTGTTTGTGATGTGTGTACCCAGCGAAAGGAGTTGAACATTTCTATTGATAGAGCATTTTTGAAACACTCTTTTTGTGGAATCTGCAAGTGGATATTTGGATAGCTTGTAGGTTTTCGTTGGAAGCGGGAATTCAAATAAAAGGTAGACAGCAGCATTCTCAGAAATTTCTTTCTGATGTTTGCATTCAACTCATAGAGTTGAACATTCCCTTTAATAGAGCAGGTTTGAAACACTCTTTCTGTAGTATCTGGATGTGGATAATTGGAGCGCTTTGACGCCTACGGTGAAAAAGGAAATGTCTTCCCATAAAAAATTGAAGAAGGATTCTGAGAAATAAGTTTGTGATGTGTGTACTCAGCTAACAGAGTGGAACCTCTCTTTTGATGCAGCAGTTTGGAAACACTCTTTTTGTAGAAACCGTAAGTGGATATTTGGATAGCTCTAATGATTTCGTTGGAAACGGGAATATCATCATCTAAAATCTAGACAGAAGCCCTCTCAGAAACTACTTTGTGATATCTGCATTCAAGTCAGAGAGTTGAACATTCGCTTTCTTAGAGCACGTTTGAAACACTCTTTTTGTAGTGTCTGGAAGTGGACATTTGGAGCGCTTTGATGCCTTTGGTGAAACAGGGAATGTCTTCCCATAAAAACTAGACAGAAGCATTCTCAGAAACTTGTTTGTGATGTGTGTACCCAGCCAAAGGAGTTGAACATTTCTATTGATAGAGCAGTTTTGAAACACTCTTTTTGTGGAAAATGCAGGTGGATATTTGGATAGCTTGGAGGATTTCGTTGGAAGCGGGAATTTCAAATAAAAGTTAGACAGCAGGATTCTGAGAAACAAGTTTGTGATGTGTGTACTCAGCTAACAGAGTGGAACCTCTCTTTTTACAGAGCAGCTTTGAAACTCTATTTTTGTGGATTCTGCAAATGGATATTTAGATTGCTTTAACGATATCGCTGGAAAAGGGAATATGGTCATACAAAATCTAGACAGAAGCATTCTCACAAACTTCTTTGTGATGTGTGTCCTCAACTAACAGAGTTGAACCTTTCTTTTGATGCAGCAGTTTGGAATCACCCTTTTGGTAGAAACTGTAACTGGATATTTGGATAGCTCTAACGATTTCGTTGGAAACGGGAATATCATCATCTAAAATCTAGACAGAAGCACTATTAGAAACTACTTGGTGATATCTGCATTCAAGTCACAGAGTTGAACATTCCCTTACTTCGAGCACGTTTGAAACACTCTTTTGGAAGAATCTGGAAGTGGACATTTGGAGCCCTTTGATGCCTTTGGTGAAAAGGAAACGTCTTCCAATAAAAGCCAGACAGAAGCATTCTCAGAAACTTGTTCGTGATGTGTGTACTCAACTAAAAGAGTTGAACCTTTCTATTGATAGAGCAGTTTTGAAACGCTCTTTTTGTGGATTCTGCAAGTGGATATTTGGATTGCTTTGAGGATTTCGTTGGAAGCGGGAATTCGTATAAACACTAGACAGCAGCATTCCCAGAAATTTCTTTCGGATATTTCCATTCAACTCATAGAGATGAACATGGCCTTTCATAGAGCAGGTTTGAAACACTCTTTTTGTAGTTTGTGGAAGTGGACATTTCGATCGCCTTGACGCCTACGGTGAAAAAGGAAATATCTTCCCATAAAAAATAGACAGAAGCATTCTCAGAAACTTGTTGGTGATATGTGTCCTCAACTAACAGAGTTGAACTTTGCCATTGATAGAGAGCAGTTTTGAAACACTCTTTTTGTGGAATCTGCAAGTGGATATTTGGATAGCTTGGAGGATGTCGTTGGAAGCGGGAATTCAAATTAAAGGTAGACAGCAGCATTCTCAGAAATTTCTTTCTGATGTCCGCATTCAACTCATAGAGTTGAACATTCCCTTTCATAGAGCAGGTTTGAAACACTCTTTCTGGAGTATCTGGATGTGGACATTTGGAGCGCTTTGATGCCTACGGTGAAAAAGTAAATATCTTCCCATAAAAACGAGACAGAAGGATTCTGAGAAACAAGTTTGTGATGTGTGTACTCAGCTAACAGAGTGGAACCTCTCTTTTGATGCAGCAGTGTGGAAACACTCTTTTTGTAGAAACTGTAAGTGGATATTTGGATAGCTCTAATGATTTCGTTGGAAACGGGAATATCATCATCTAAAATCTAGACAGAAGCCCTCTCAAAAACTACTTTGTGATATCTGCATTCAAGTCACAGAGTTGAACATTCGCTTTCTTAGAGCACGTTTGAAACACTCTTTTTGTAGTGTCTGGAAGTGGAAATTTGGAGCGCTTTGATGCCTTTGGTGAAAAAGGGAATATCTTCCCATAAAAACTAGACAGAAGCTTTCTCAGAAACTTGTTTGTGATGTGTGTACCCAGCGAAAGGAGTTGAACATTTCTATTGATAGAGCAGTTTTGAAACACTCTTTTTGTGGAATCTGCAAGTGGATATTTGGATAGCTTGTAGGTTTTCGTTGGAAGCGGGAATTCAAATAAAAGGTAGACAGCAAGCATTCTCAGAAATTTCTTTCTGATGTCTGCATTCAACTCATACAGTTGAAGATTCCCTTTCATAGAGCAGGTTTGAAACACTCGTTCTGGAGTATCTGGATGTGGACATTTGGAGCGCTTTGATGCCTACGGTGGAAAAGTAAATATCTTCCCATAAAAACGAGACAGAAGGATTCTCAGAAACAAGTTTGTGATGTGTGTACTCAGCTAACAGAGTGGAACCTTTCTTTTTACAGAGCAGCTTTGAAACTCTATTTTTGTGGATTCTGCAAATTGATATTTAGATTGCTTTAACGATATCGTTGGAAAACGGAATATCGTCATACAAAATCTAGACAGAAGCATTCTCACAAACTTCTTTGTGATGTGTGTCCTCAACTAACAGAGTTGAACCTTTCTTTTGATGCAGCAATTTGGAAACACCCTTTTGGTAGAAACTGTAACTGGATATTTGGATAGCTCTAACGATTTCGTTGGAAACGGGAATATCATCATCTAAAATATAGACAGAAGCACTATTAGAAACTACTTGGTGATATCTGCATTCAAGTCACAGAGTTGAACATTCGCTTACTTTGAGCACGTTTGAAACACTCTTTTGGAAGAATCTGGAAGTGGACATTTGGAGCGCTTTGATGCCTTTGGTGAAAAGGAAACGTCTTCCAATAAAAGCCAGACAGAAGCATTCTCAGAAACTTGTTCGTGATGTGTGTACTCAACTAAAAGAGTTGAACCTTTCTATTGATAGAGCAGTTTTGAAACACTCTTTTTGTGGATTCTGCAAGTGGATATTTGGATTGCTTTGAGGATTTCGTTGGAAGCGGGAATTCGTATAAACACTAGACAGCAGCATTCCCAGAAATTTCTTTCGGATATTTCCATTCAACTCATAGAGATGAACATGGCCTTTCATATTGAAACACTCTTTTTGTAGTTTGTGGAAGTAGACATTTCGATCACCTTGACGCCTGCGGTGAAAAAGGAAATATCTTCCCATAAAAAATAGACAGAAGCATTCTCAGAAACTTGTTGGTGATATGTGTCCTCAACTAACAGAATTGAACTTTGCCATTGATAGAGAGCAGTTTTGAAACACTCTTTTTGTGGAATCTGCAAGTGGATATTTGGATAGCTTGGAGGATTTCGTTGGAAGCGGGAATTCAAATAAAAGGTAGACAGCAGCATTCTCAGAAATTTCTTTCTGATGTCTGCATTCAACTCATAGAGTTGAAGATTCCCTTTCATAGAGCAGGTTTGAAACACTCTTTCTGGAGTATCTGGATGTGGACATTTGGAGCGCTTTGATGCCTACGGTGAGAAAGTAAATATCTTCCCATAAAAACGAGACAGAAGGATTCTGAGAAACAAGTTTGTGATGTGTGTACTCAGCTAACAGAGTGGAACCTCTCTTTTGATGCAGCAGTTTGGAAACACTCTTTTTGTAGAAACTGTAAGTGTTTATTTGGATAGCTCTAATGATTTCGTTGGAAACGGGAATATCATCATCTAAAATCTAGACAGAAGCACTCTCAGAAACTACTTGTTGATATCTGCATTCAAGTCACAGAGTTGAACATTCGCTTTCTTAGAGCACTTTTGAAACACTCTTTTTGTAGTATCTAGAAGTGGACATTTGGAGCTCTTTGATGCCTTTGGTGAAAAAGGAAATGTCTTCCCATAAAAACTAGACAGAAGCATTCTCAGGAAACTTGTTTGTGATGTGTGTACCCAGCCAAAGGAGTTGAACATTTCTATTGATAGAGCAGTTTTGAAACACTCTTGTTGTGGAAAATGCAGGAGGATATTTGGATAGCTTGGAGGATTTCGTTGGAAGCGGGAATTCAAATAAAAGGTAGACAGCAGGATTCTGAGAAACAAGTTTGTGATGTGTGTACTCAGCTAACAGAGTGGAACCTTTCTTTTTACAGAGCAGCTTTCAAACTCTATTTTTGTGGATTCTGCAAATTGATATTTAGATTGCTTTAACGATATCGTTGGAAAAGGGAATATCCTCATACAAAATCTAGACAGAAGCATTCTCACAAACTTCTTTGTGATGTGTGTCCTCAACTAACAGTAGTTGAACCTTTCTTTTGATGCAGCAATTTGGAAACACCCTTTTGGTAGAAACTGTAACTGGATATTTGGATAGCTCTAACGATTTCGTTGGAAACGGGAATATCATCATCTAAAATGTAGACAGATCTAGAAACTACTTGGTGATATCTGCATTCAAGTCAAAGAGTTGAACATTCCCTTACTTTGAGCACGTTTGAAACACTCTTTTGGAAGAATCTGGAAGTGGACATTTGGAACGCTTTGATGCCTTTGGTGAAAAGGAAACGTCTTCCAATAAAAGCCAGACAGAAGCCTTCTCAGAAGCTTGTTCGTGATGTGTGTACTCAACTAAAAGAGTTGAACCTTTCTATTGATAGAGCAGTTTTGAAACACTCTTTTTGTGGATTCTGCAAGTGGATATTTGGATTGCTTTGAGGATTTCGTTGGAAGCGGGAATTCGTATAAACACTAGACAGCAGCATTCCCAGAAATTTCTTTCGGATATTTCCATTCAACTCATAGAGGTGAACATGGCCTTTCATACAGCAGGTTTGAAACACTCTTTTTGTAGTTTGTGGAAGTGGACATTTCAATCGCCTTGATGCCTACGGTGAAAAAGGAAATATCTTCCCATAAAAAATAGACAGAAGCATTCTCAGAAACTTGTTGGTGATATGTGTCCTCAACTAACAGAGTTGAACTTTGCCATTGATAGAGAGCAGTTTTGAAACAGTCTTTTTGTGGAATCTGCAAGTGGATATTTGGATAGCTTGGAGGATTTCGTTGGAAGCGGGAATTCAAATAAAAGGTAGACAGCAGCATTCTCAGAAATTTCTTTCTGATGTCTGCATTCAACTCATAGAGTTGAAGATTCCCTTTCATAGAGCAGGTTTGAAACACTCGTTCTGGAGTATCTGGATGTGGACATTTGGAGCGCTTTGATGCCTACGGTGCAAAAGTAAATATCTTCCCATAAAAACGAGACAGAAGGATTCTCAGAAACAAGTTTGTGATGTGTGTACTCAGCTAACAGAGTGGAACCTCTCTTTTGATGCAGCAGTTTGGAAACACTCTTTTTGTAGAAACTGTAAGTGGATATTTGGAAAGCTCTAATGATTTCATTGGAAACGGGAATATCATCATCTAAAATCTAGACTGAAGCACTCTCAGAAACTACTTTGTGATATCTGCATTCAAGTCACAGAGTTGAACATTCGCTTTCTTAGAGCACTTTTGAAACACTCTTTTTGTAGTATCTGGAAGTGGACATTTGGAGCTCTTTGATGCCTTTGGTGAAAAAGGAAATGTCTTCCCATAAAAGCTAGACAGAAGCATTCTCAGAAACTTGTTTGTGATGTGTGTACCCAGCGAAAGGAGTTGAATATTTCTATTGATAGAGCAGTTTTGAAACACTCTTTTTGTGGAATCTGCAAGTGGATATTTGGATAGCTTGGAGGTTTTCATTGGAAGCGGGAATTCAAATAAAAGATAGACAGCAGCATTCTCAGAAATTTCTTTCTGATGTCTGCATTCAACTCATAGAGTTGAAGATTCCCGTTCATAGAGCAGGTTTGAAACACTCGTTCTGGAGTATCTGGATGTGGACATTTGGAGCGCTTTGATGCCTACGGTGGAAAAGTAAATATCTTCCCATAAAAACGAGACAGAAGGATTCTCAGAAACAAGTTTGTGATGTGTGTACTCAGCTAACAGAGTGGATCCTTTCTTTTTACAGAGCAGCTTTGAAACTCTATTTCTGTGGATTCTGCAAATTGATATTTGGGTTGATTTAACGATATCGTTGGAAAAGGGAATATCTTCATACAAAATCTAGACAGAAGCATTCTCACAAACTTCTTTGTGATGTGTGTCCTCAACTAACAGAGTTGAACCTTTCTTTTGATGCAGCAATTTGGAAACACCCTTTTGGTAGAAACTGTAACTGGATATTTGGATAGCTCTAGCGATTTCGTTGGAAACGGGAATATCATCATCTAAAATCTAGACAGAAGCACTATTAGAAACTACTTGGTGATATCTGCATTCAAGTCAAAGAGTTGAACATTCCCTTACTTTGAGCACGTTTGAAACACTCTTTTGGAAGAATCTGGAAGTGGACATTTGGAGCGCTTTGATGCCTTTGGTGAAAAGGAAACGTCTTCCAATAAAAGCCAGACAGAAGCATTCTGAGAAACTTGTCCGTGATGTGTGTACTCAACTAAAAGAGTTGAACCTTTCTATTGATAGAGCAGTTTTGAAACACTCTTTTTGTGGATTCTGCAAGTGGATATTTGGATTGCTTTGAGGATTTCGTTGGAAGCGGGAATTCGTATAAACACTAGACAGCAGCATTCCCAGAAATTTCTTTCGGATATTTCCATTCAACTCATAGAGATGAACATGGCCTTTCATAGAGCAGGTTTGAAACACTCTTTCTGTAGTTTGTGGAAGTGGACATTTCGATCGCCTTGACGCCTACGGTGAAAAAGGAAATATCTTCCCATAAAAAATAGACAGAAGAATTCTCAGAAACTTGTTTGTGATGTGTGTCCTCAACTGACAGAGTTGTACCTTTCTATTGATAGAGTAGTTTTGAAACACTCTTTTTGTGGAATCTGCAAGTGAATATTTGGATAGCTTGGAGGATTTCGTTGGAAGCGGGAATTCAAATGAAAGGTAGACAGCAGCATTCTCAGAAATTTCTTTCTGATGTCTGCATTCAACTCATAGAGTTGAAGATTCCCTTTCATAGAGCAGGTTTGAAACACTCTTTCTGGAGTATCTGGATGTGGACATTTGGAGCGCTTTGATGCCTACGGTGAAAAAGTAAATATCTTCCCATAAAAACGACACAGAAGGATTCTGAGAAACAAGTTTGTGATGTGTGTACTCAGCTAACAGAGTGGAACCTCTCTTTTGATGCAGTAGTTTGGAAACACTCTTTTTGTAGAAACTGTAAGTGGATATTTGGATAGCTCTAATGATTTCGTTGGAAACGGGAATATCATCATCTAAAATCTAGAGAGATGCCCTCTCAGAAACTACTTTGTGATATCTGCATTCAAGTCACAGAGTTGAACATTCGCTTTCTTAGAGCACGTTGGAAACACTCTTTTTGTAGTGTCTGGAAGTGGACATTTGGAGCGCTTTGATGCCTTTGGTGAAAAAGGGAATGTCTTCCCATAAAAACTAGACAGAAGCATTCTCAGAAACTTGTTTGTGATGTGTGTACCCAGCTAAAGGAGTTGAACATTTCTATTGATAGAGCAGTTTTGAAACACTCTTTTTGTGGAAAATGCAAGTGGATATTTGGAGAGCTTGGAGGATTTCGTTGGAAGCGGGAATTCAAATAAAAGGTAGACAGCAGCATTCTCAGAAATTTCTTTCTGATGTCTGCATTCAACTCATAGAGTTGAAGATTCCCTTTCATAGAGCAGATTTGAAACACTCTTTCTGGAGTATCTGGATGTGGACATTTGGAGCGCTTTGATGCCTACGGTGAAAAAGTAAATATCTTCCCATAAAAACGAGACAGAAGGATTCTCAGAAACAAGTTTGTGATGTGTGTACTCAGCTAACAGAGTGGAACCTTTCTTTTTACAGAGCAGCTTTGAAACTCTATTTTTGTGGATTCTGCAAATGGATATTTAGATTGCTTTAATGATATCGCTGGAAAAGGGAATATGGTCATACAAAATCTAGACAGAAGCATTCTCACAAACTTCTTTGTGATGTGTGTCCTCAACTAACAGAGTTGAAGCTTTCTTTTGATGCAGCAGTTTGGAAACACCCTTTTGGTAGAAACTGTAAGTGGATATTTGGATAGCTCTAACGATTTCGTTGGAAACGGGAATATCATCATCTAAAATCTAGACAGAAGCACTATTAGAAACTACTTGGTGATATCTGCATTCAAGTCAAAGAGTTGAACATTCCCTTACTTTCAGCACGTTTGAAACACTCTTTTGGAAGAATCTGGAAGTGGACATTTGGAGCGCTTTGATGCCTTTGGTGAAAAGGAAACGTCTTCCAATAAAAGCCAGACAGAAGCATTCTCAGAAACTTATTCGTGATGTGTGTACTCAACTAAAAGAGTTGAACCTTTCTATTGATAGAGCAGTTTTGAAACACTCTTTTTGTGGATTCTGCAAGTGGATATTTGGATTGCTTTGAGGATTTCGTTGGAAGCGGGAATTCGTATAAACACTAGACAGCAGCATTCCCAGAAATTTCTTTCGGATATTTCCATTCGACTCATAGAGATGAACATGGCCTTTCATAGAGCAGGTTTGAAACACTCTTTTTGTAGTTTGTGGAAGTGGACATTTCGATCGCCTTGACGCCTACGGTGAAAAAGGAAATATCTTCCCATAAAAAATAGACAGAAGCATTCTCAGAAACTTGTTGGTGATATGTGTCCTCAACTAACAGAGTTGAACTTTGCCATTGATAGAGAGCAGTTTTGAAACACTCTTTTTGTGGAATCTGCAAGTGGATATTTGGATACCTTGGAGGATTTCGTTGGAAGCGGGAATTCAAATAAAAGGTAGACAGCAGCATTCTCAGAAATTTCTTTCTGATGTCTGCATTCAAGTCATAGAGTTGAAGATTCCCTTTCATAGAGCAGGTTTGAAACACTCTTTCTGGAGTATCTGGATGTGGACATTTGGAGCGCTTTGATGCCTACGGTGAGAAAGTAAATATCTTCCCATAAAAACGAGACAGAAGGATTCTAAGAAACAAGTTTGTGATGTGTGTACTCAGCTAACAGAGTGGAACCTCTCTTTTGATGCAGCAGTTTGGAAACACTCTTTTTGTAGAAACTGTATGTGGATATTTGGATAGCTCTAATGATTTCATTGGAAACGGGAATATCATCATCTAAAATCTAGACAGAAGCACTCTCAGAAACTACTTTGTGATATCTGCATTCAAGTCACAGAGTTGAACATTCCCTTTCTTAGAGCACGTTTGAAAGACTCTTTTTGTAGTGTCTGGAAGTGGACATTTGGAGCGCTTTGATTCCTTTGGTGAAAAAGGGAATGTCTACCCATAAAAACTAGACAGAAGCATTCTCAGAAACTTGTTTGTGATGTGTGTACCCAGCTAAAGGAGTTGAACATTTCTATTGATAGAGCAGTTTTGAAACACTCTTTTTGTGGAAAATGCAAGTGGATATTTGGATTGCTTGGGGGATTTCGTTGGAAGCGGGAATTCAAATAAAAGGTAGACAGCAGCATTCTCAGAAATTTCTTTCTGATGTCTGCATTCAATTCATAGAGTTGAAGATTCCCTTTCATAGAGCAGGTTTGAAACACTCGTTCTGGAGTATCTGGATGTGGACATTTGGAGCGCTTTGATGCCTACGGTGGAAAAGTAAATATCTTCCCATAAAAACGAGACAGAAGGATTCTGAGAAACAAGTTTGTGATGTGTGTACTCAGCTAACAGAGTGGAACCTTTCTTTTTACAGAGCAGCTTTGAAACTCTATTTCTGTGGATTCTGCAAATTGATATTTAGATTGCTTTAACGATATCGTTGGAAAAGGGAATATCGTCATACAAAATCTAGACAGAAGCATTCTCACAAACTTCTTTGTGATGTGTGTCCTCAACTAACAGAGTTGAACCTTTCTTTTGATGCAGCAATTTGGAAACAGCCTTTTGGTAGAAACTGTAACTGGATATTTGGATAGCTCTAACGATTTCGTTGTAAACGGGAATATCATCATCTAAAATCTAGACAGAAGCACTATTAGAAACTACTTGGTGATATCTGCATTCAAGTCACAGAGTAGAACATTCCCTTACTTCGAGCACGTTTGAAACACTCTTTTGGAAGAATCTGGAAGTGGACATTTGGAGCGCTTTGATGCCTTTGGTGAAAAGGAAACGTCTTCCAATAAAAGCCAGACAGAAGCATTCTCAGAAACTTGTTCGTGATGTGTGTACTCAACTAAAAGAGTTGAACCTTTCTATTGATAGAGCAGTTTTGAAACACTCTTTTTGTGGATTCTGCAAGTGGATATTTGGATTGCTTTGAGGATTTCGTTGGAAGCGGGAATTCGTATAAACACTAGACAGCAGCATTCCCAGAAATTTCTTTCGGATATTTCCATTCAACTCATAGAGATGAACATGGCCTTTCATAGAGCAGGTTTGAAACACTCTTTTTGTAGTTTGTGGAAGTGGACATTTCGATCGCCTTGACGCCTACGGTGATAAAGGAAATATCTTCCCATAAAAAATAGACAGAAGCATTCTCAGAAACTTGTTGGTGATATGTGTCCTCAACTAACAGAGTTGAACTTTGCCATTGATAGAGAGCAGTTTTGAAACACTCTTTTTGTGGAATCTGCAAGTGGATATTTGGATAGCTTGGAGGATTTCGTTGGAAGCGGGAATTCAAATAAAAGGTAGACAGCAGCATTCTCAGAAATTTCTTTCTGATGTCTGCATTCAACTCATAGAGTTGAAGATTCCCTTTCATAGAGCAGGTTTGAAACACTCTTTCTGGAGTATCTGGATGTGGACATTTGGAGCGCTTTGATGCCTACGGTGGAAAAGTAAATATCTTCCCATAAAAACGAGACAGAAGGATTCTGAGAAACAAGTTTGTGATGTGTGTACTCAGATAACAGAGTGGAACCTCTCTTTTGATGCAGCAGTTTGGAAACACTCTTTTTGTAGAAACTGTAAGTGGATATTTGGATAGCTCTAATGATTTCGTTGGAAACGGGAATATCATCATCTAAAATCTAGACAGAAGCACTCTCAGAAACTACTTTGTGATATCTGCATTCAAGTCACAGAGTTGAACATTCGCTTTCTTAGAGCACGTTTGAAACACTCTTTTTGTAGTGTCTGGAAGTGGACATTTGGAGCGCTTTGATGGCTTTGGTGAAAAAGGGAACGTCTTCCCATAAAAACTAGACAGAAGCATTCTCAGAAACTTGTTTGTGATGTGTGTACCCAGCTAAAGGAGTTGAACATTTCTATTGATAGAGCAGTTTTGATACACTCTTTTTGTGGAAACTGCAAGTGGATATTTGGATAGCTTGGAGGATTTCGTTGGAAGCGGGAATTCAAATAAAAGGTAGACAGCAGCATTCTCAGAAATTTCTTTCTGATGTCTGCATTCAACTCATAGAGTTGAAGATTCCCTTTCATAGAGCAGGTTTGAAACACTCTTTCTGGAGTATCTGGAAGTGGCCATTTGGACCGCTTTGATGCCTACGGTGAAAAACTAAATATGTTCCCATAAAAACGAGACAGAAGGATTCTCAGAAACAAGTTTGTGATGTGTGTACTCAGCTAACAGAGTGGAACCTTTCTTTTTACAGAGCAGCTTTGAAACTCTATTTTTGTGGATTCTGCAAATTGATATTTAGATTGCTTTAACGATATCGTTGGAAAAGGGAATATCGTCATACAAAATCTAGAAAGAAGCATTCTCACAAACTTCTTTGTGATGTGTGTCCTCAACTAACAGAGTTGAACCTTTCTTTTGATGCAGCAATTTGGAAACACCCTTTTGGTAGAAACTGTAACTGGATATTTGGATAGCTCTAAAGATTTCGTTGGAAACGGGAATATCATCATCTAAAATCTAGACAGAAGCACTATTAGAAACTACTTGGTGATATCTGCATTCAAGTCACAGAGTTGAACATTCCCTTACTTTGAGCACGTTTGAAACACTCTTTTGGAAGAATCTGGAAGTGGACATTTGGAGCGCTTTGATGCCTTTGGTGAAAAGGAAACGTCTTCCAATAAAAGCCAGACAGAAGCATTCTCAGAAACTTGTTTGTGGTGTGTGTACTCAACTAAAAGAGTTGAACCTTTCTATTGATAGAGCAGTTTTGAAACACTCTTTTTGTGGATTCTGCAAGTGGATATTTGGATTGCTTTGAGGATTTCGTTGGAAGCGGGAATTCGTATAAAAACTAGACAGCAGCATTCCCAGAAATTTCTTTCGGATATTTCCATTCAACTCATAGAGATGAACATGGCCTTTCATAGAGCAGGTTTGAAACACTCTTTTTGTAGTTTGTGGAAGTGGACATTTCGATCGCCTTGACGCCTACGGTGAAAAAGGAAATATCTTCCCATAAAAAATAGACAGAAGCATTCTCAGAAACTTGTTGGTGATATGTGTCCTCAACTAACAGAGTTGAACTTTGCCATTGATAGAGAGCAGTTTTGAAACACTCTTTTTGTGGAATCTGCAAGTGGATATTTGGATAGCTTGGAGGATTTCGTTGGAAGCGGGAATTCAAATAAAAGGTAGACAGCAGCATTCTCAGAAATTTCTTTCTGATGTCTGCATTCAACTCATAGAGTTGAACATTCCCTTTCATAGAGCAGGTTTGAAACACTCTTTCTGGAGTATCTGGATGTGGACATTTGGAGCGCTTTGATGCCTACGGTGAAAAAGTATAATCTTCCCATAAAAACGAGACAGAAGGATTCTCAGAAAGAAGTTTGTGATGTGTGTACTCAGCTAACAGAGTGGAACCTCTCTTTTGAAGCAGCAGTTTGGAAACACTCGTTTTGTAGAAACTGTAAGTGGATATTTGGATAGCTCTAATGATTTCGTTGGAAACGGGAATATCATCATCTAAAATCTAGACAGAAGCCCTCTCAGAAACTACTTTGTGATATCTGCATTCAAGTCACAGAGTTGAACATTCGCTTTCTTAGAGCACGTTGGAAACACTCTTTTTGTAGTGTTTGGAAGTGGACATTTGGAGCGCTTTGATGCCTTTGGTGAAAAAGGGAATGTCTTCCCATAAAAACTAGACAGAAGCATTCTCAGAAACTTGTTTGTGATGTGTGTACCCAGCTAAAGGAGTTGAACATTTCCATTGATAGAGCAGTTTTGAAACACTCTTTTTGTGGAAAATGCAAGTGGATATTTGGATAGCTTGGAGGATTTCGTTGGAAGCGGGAATTCAAATAAAAGGTAGACAGCAGCATTCTCAGAAATTTCTTTCTGATGTCTGCATTCAACTCATAGAGTTGAAGATTCCCTTTCATAGCAGCAGGTTTGAAACACTCTTTCTGGAGTATCTGGATGTGGACATTTGGAGCGCTTTGATGCCTACGGTGAAAAAGTAAATATCTTCCCAGAAAAACGAGACAGAAGGATTCTGAGAAACAAGTTTGTGATGTGTGTACTCAGCTAACAGAGTGGAACCTTTCTTTTTACAGAGCAGCTTTGAAACTCTATTTTTGTGGATTCTGCAAATGGATATTTAGATTGATTTAATGTTATCGCTGGAAAAGGGAATATGGTCATACAAAATCTAGATAGAAGCATTCTCACAAACTTCTTTGTGATGTGTGTCCTCAACTAACAGAGTTGAACCTTTCTTTTGATGCAGCAGTTTGGAAACACCCTTTTGGTAGAAACTGTAAGTGGATATTTGGATAGCTCTAACTATTTCATTGGAAACGGGAATATCATCATCTAAAATCTAGACAGAAGCACTATTAGAAACTACTTGGTGATATCTGCATTCAAGTCACAGAGTTGAACATTCCCTTACTTTGAGCACGTTTGAAACACTCTTTTGGAAGAATCTGGAAGTGGACATTTGCAGCGCTTTGATGCCTTTGGTGAAAAGGAAACGTCTTCCAATAAAAGCCAGACAGAAACATTCTCAGAAACTTGTTTGTGATGTGTGTACTCAACTAAAAGAGTTGAACCTTTCTATTGATAGAGCAGTTTTGAAACACTCTTTTTGTGGATTCTGCAAGTGGATATTTGGATTGCTTTGAGGATTTCGTTGGAAGCGGGAATTCGTATAAACACTAGACAGCAGCATTCCCAGAAATTTCTTTCGGATATTTCCATTCAACTCATAGAGATGAACATGGCCTTTCATAGAGCAGGTTTGAAACACTCTTTTTGTAGTTTGTGGAAGTGGACATTTCGATCGCCTTGACGCCTACGGTGAAAAAGGAAATATCTTCCCATAAAAAATAGACAGAAGCATTCTCAGAAACTTGTTGGTGATATGTGTCCTCAACTAACAGAGTTGAACTTTGCCATTGATAGAGAGCAGTTTTGAAACACTCTTTTTGTGGAATCTGCAAGTGGATATTTGGATAGCTTGGAGGATTTCGTTGGAAGCGGGAATTCAAATAAAAGGTAGACAGCAGGATTCTCAGAAACAAGTTTGTGATGTGTGTACTCAGCTAACAGAGTGGATCCTTTCTTTTTACAGAGCAGCTTTGAAACTCTATTTCTGTGGATTCTGCAAATTGATATTTGGGTTGATTTAACGACATCGTTGGAAAAGGGAATATCTTCATACAAAATCCAGACAGAAGCATTCTCAGAAACTTCTTTCTGATGTCTGTCCTCAACTAACAGAGTTGAACCTTTCTTTTGATGCAGAAGTTTGGAAACACTCTTTTTGTAGAAACTGTAAGTGGATATTTGGATAGGTCTAACGATATCGTTGGAAACGGGAATATCTTCATCTAAAGTATACACAGAAGCACTATTAGAAACTACTGGGTGATATCTGCATTCAAGTCACAGAGTTGAACATTCCCTTACTTTGAGCACGTTTCAAACACTCTTTTGTAAGAATCTGGAAGTGGACATTTGGAGCGCTTTGATGCCTTTGGTGAAAAGGAAACGTCTTCCAATAAAAGCCAGACAGAAGCATTCTCAGAAACTTGTTCGTGATGTGTGTACTCAACTAAAAGAGTTGAACCTTTCTATTGATAGAGCAGTTTTGAAACACTCTTTTTGCGGATTCTGCAAGTGGATATTTGGATTGCTTTGAGGATTTCGTTGGAAGCGGGAATTCGTATAAACACTAGACAGCAGCATTCCCAGAAATTTCTTTCGGATATTTCCATTCGACTCATAGAGATGAACATGGCCTTTCATAGAGCAGGTTTGAAACACTCTTTTTGTAGTTTGTGGAAGTGGACATTTCGATCGCCTTGACGCCTACGGTGAAAAAGGAAATATCTTCCCATAAAAAATAGACAGAAGCATTCTCAGAAACTTGTTGGTGATATGTGTCCTCAACTAACAGAGTTGAACTTTGCCATTGATAGAGAGCAGTTTTGAAACACTCTTTTTGTGGAATCTGCAAGTGAATATTTGGATAGCTTGGAGGATTTCGTTGGAAGCGGGAATTCAAATAAAAGGTAGACAGCAGCATTCTCAGAAATTTCTTTCTGATGTCTGCATTCAACTCATAGAGTTGAACATTCCCTTTCATAGGACAGGTTTGAAATACTCTTTCTGTAGTATCTGGATGTGGACATTTGGAGCGCTTTGATGCCTACGGTGAGAAAGTAAATCTCTTCCCATAAAAACGAGACAGAAGGATACTCAGAAACAAGTTTGTGATGTGTGTACTCAGCTAACAGAGTGGAACCTCTCTTTTGATGCAGCAGTTTGGAAACACTCTTTTTGTAGAAACTGTAAGTGGATATTTGGATAGCTCTAATGATTTCGTTGGAAACGGGAATATCATCATCTAAAATCTAGACAGAAGTCCTCTCAGAAACTACTTTGTGATATCTGCATTCAAGTCACAGAGTTGAACATTCGCTTTCTTAGAGCACGTTTGAAACACTCTTTTTGTAGTGTCTGGAAGTGGACATTTGGAGCGCTTTGATGCCTTTGGTGAAAAAGGGAACGTCTTCCCATAAAAACTAGACAGAAACATTCTCAGAAACTTGTTTGTGATGTGTGTACCCAGCCAAAGGAGTTGAACATTTCTATTGATAGAGCAGTTTTGAAACACTCTTTTTGTGGAAAATGCAGGTGGATATTTGGATAGCTTGGAGGATTTCGTTGGAAGCGGGAATTCAAATAAAAGGTAGACAGCAGCATTCTCAGAAATTTCTTTGTGATGTTTGCATTCAACTCATAGAGTTGAACATTCCCTTTAATAGAGCAGGTTTGAAACACTCTTTCTGTACTATCTGGATGTGGACAGTTGGAGCGCTTTGACGCCTACGGTGAAAAAGGAAATGTCTTCCCATAAAAAATTGAAGAAGGATTCTGAGAAACAAGTTTGTGATGTGTGTACTCAGCTAACAGAGTGGAACCTTTCTTTTTACAGAGCAGCTTTGAAACTCTATTTTTGTGGATTCTGCAAATCGATATTTAGATTGCTTTAACGATATCGTTGGAAAAGGGAATATCGTCATACAAAATCTAGACAGAAGCATTCTCACAAACTTCTTTGTGATGTGTGTCCTCAACTAACAGAGTTGAACCTTTCTTTTGATGCAGCAATTTGCAAACACCCTTTTGGTAGAAACTGTAACTGGATATTTGGATAGCTCTAACGATTTCGTTGGAAACGGGAATATCATCATCTAAAATGTAGACAGAAGCACTATTAGAAACTACTTGGTGATATCTGCATTCAAGTCACAGAGTAGAACATTCCCTTACTTCGAGCACGTTTGAAACACTCTTTTGGAAGAATCTGGAAGTGGACATTTGGAGCGCTTTGATGCCTTTGGTGAAAAGGAAACGTCTTCCAATAAAAGCCAGACAGAAGCATTCTCAGAAACTTGTTCGTGATGTGTGTACTCAACTAAAAGCAGTTGAACCTTTCTATTGATAGAGCAGTTTTGAAACACTCTTTTTGTGGATTCTGCAAGTGGATATTTGGATTGCTTTGAGGATTTCGTTGGAAGCGGGAATTCATATAAAAACTAGACAGCAGCATTCCCAGAAATTTCTTTCGGATATTTCCATTCAACTCATAGAGATGAACATCGCCTTTCATAGAGCAGGTTTGAAACACTCTTTTTGTAGTTTGTGGAAGTGGACATTTCGATCGCCTTGACGCCTACGGTGAAAAAGGAAATATCTTCCCATAAAAAATAGACAGAAGCATTCTCAGAAACTTGTTGGTGATATGTGTCCTCAACTAACAGAGTTGAACTTTGCCATTGATAGAGAGCAGTTTTGAAACACTCTTTTTGTGGAATCTGCAAGTGGATATTTGGATAGCTTGGAGGATTTCGTTGGAAGCGGGAATTCAAATAAAAGGTAGACAGCATCATTCTCAGAAATTTCTTTCTGATGTCTGCATTCAACTCATAGAGTTGAAGATTCCCTTTCATAGAGCAGGTTTGAAACACTCGTTCTGGAGTATCTGGATGTGGACATTTGGAGCGCTTTGATGCCTACGGTGGAAAAGTAAATATCTTCCCATAAAAACGAGACAGAAGGATTCTGAGTAAACAAGTTTGTGATGTGTGTACTCAGCTAACAGAGTGGAACCTCTCTTTTGATGCAGCAGTTTGGAAACTCTCTTTTTGTAGAAACTGTAAGTGGATATTTGGATAGCTCTAATGATTTCGTTGGAAACGGGAATATCATCATCTAAAATCTAGACAGAAGCCCTCTCAGAAACTACTTTGTGATATCTGCATTCAAGTCACAGAGTTGAACATTCGCTTTCTTAGAGCACGTTGGAAACACTCTTTTTGTAGTGTCTGGAAGTGGACATTTGGAGCGCTTTGATGCCTTTGGTGAAAAAGGGAATGTCTTCCCATAAAAACTAGACAAAAGCATTCTCAGAAACTTGTTTGTGATGTGTGTACCCAGCCAAAGGAGTTGAACATTTCTATTGATAGAGCAGTTTTGAAACACTCTTGTTGTGGAAAATGCAAGTGGATATTTGGATAGCTTGGAGGATTTCGTTGGAAGCGGGAATTCAAATAAAAGGTAGACAGCAGCATTCTCAGAAATTTCTTTCTGATGTCTGCATTCAACTCATAGAGTTGAAGATTCCCTTTCGTAGAGCAGGTTTGAAACACTCGTTCTGGAGTATCTGGATGTGGACATTTGGAGCGCTTTGATGCCTACGGTGGAAAAGTAAATATCTTCCCATAAAAACGAGACAGAAGGATTCTCAGAAACAAGTTTGTGATGTGTGTACTCAGCTAACAGAGTGGAACCTTTCTTTTTACAGAGCAGCTTTGAAACTCTATTTTTGTGGATTCTGCAAATTGATATTTAGATTGCTTTAACGATATCGTTGGAAAAGGGAATATGGTCATACAAAATCTAGACAGAAGCATTCTCACAAACTTCTTTGTGATGTGTGTCCTCAACTAACAGAGTTGAACCTTTCTTTTGATGCAGCAGTTTGGAAACACTCTTTTTGTAGAAACTGTAAGTGCATTATTGGATAGCTCTAACGATTTCGTTGGAAACGGGAATATCATCATCTAAAATCTAGACAGAAGCACTATTAGAAACTACTTGGTGATATCTGCATTCAAGTCACAGAGTTGAACATTCCCTTACTTTGAGCACGTTTGAAACACTCTTTTGGAAGAATCTGGAAGTGGACATTTGGAGCGCTTTGATGCCTTTGGTGAAAAGGAAACGTCTTCCAATAAAAGCCAGACAGAAGCATTCTCAGAAACTTGTTCGTGATGTGTGTACTCAACTAAAAGAGTTGAACCTTTCTATTGATAGAGCAGTTTTGAAACACTCTTTTTGTGGATTCTGCAAGTGGATATTTGGATTGCTTTGAGGATTTCGTTGGAAGCGGGAATTCATATAAACACTAGACAGCAGCATTCTCAGAAATTTCTTCCTGATGTTTGCATTCAACTCATAGAGTTGAACATTCCCTTTAATAGAGCAGGTTTGAAACACTCTTTCTGTACTATCTGGATGTGGACATTTGGAGCGCTTTGATGCCTACGGTGAAAAAGGAAATGTCTTCCCATAAAAAATTGAAGAATTCTCAGAAACTTGTTTGTGATGTGTGTCCTCAACTGACACAGTTGTACCTTTCTATTGATAGAGTAGTTTTGAAACACTCTTTTTGTGGAATCTGCAAGTGAATATTTGGATAGCTTGGAGGATTTCGTTGGAAGCGGGAATTCAAATGAAAGGTAGACAGCAGCATTCTCAGAAATTACTTTCTGATGTCTGCATTCAACTCATAGAGTTGAAGATTCCCTTTCATAGAGCAGGTTTGAAACACTCTTTCTGTAGTATCTGGATGTGGACATTTGGAGCGCTTTGATACCTACGGTGAAAAAGTAAATATCTTCCCGTAAAAACTAGACAGAAGGATTCTGAGAAACAAGTTTGTGATGTGTGTACTCAGCTAACAGAGTGGAACCTCTCTTTTGATGCAGCAGTTTGGAAACACTCTTTTTGTAGAAACTGTACGTGGATATTTGGATAGCTCTAATGATTTCGTTGGAAACGGGAATATCATCATCTAAAATCTAGACAGAAGCCCTCTCAGAAACTACATTGTGATATCTGCATTCAAGTCACAGAGTTGAACATTCGCTTTCTTAGAGCACGTTTGAAACACTCTTTTTGTAGTGTCTGGAAGTGGACATTTGGAGCGCTTTGATGCCTTTGGTGAAAAAGGGAATGTCTTCCCATAAAAACTAGACAGAAGCATTCTCAGAAACTTGTTTGTGATGTGTGTACCCAGCTAAAGGAGTTGAACATTTCTATTGATAGATTAGTTTTGAAACACTCTTTTTGTGGAAAATGCAAGTGGATATTTGGATAGCTTGGAGGATTTCGTTGGAAGCGGGAATTCAAATAAAAGGTAGACAGCAGCATTCTCAGAAATTTCTTTCTGATGTCTGCATTCAACTCATAGAGTTGAAGATTCCCTTTCATAGAGCAGGTTTGAAACACTCTTTCTGGAGTATCTGGATGTGGACATTTGGAGCGCTTTGATGCCTACGGTGAAAAAGTAAATATCTTCCCATAAAAACTAGACAGAAGGATTCTCAGAAACAAGTTTGTGATGTGTGTACTCAGCTAAAAGAGTGGAACCTTTCTTTTTACAGAGCAGCTTTGAAACTCTATTTTTGTGGATTCTGCAAATTGATATTTAGATTGCTTTAACGATATCGTTGGAAAAGGGAATATCGTCATACAAAATCTAGACAGGAAGCATTCTCACAAACTTCTTTGTGATGTGTGTCCTCAACTAACAGAGTTGAACCTTTCTTTTGATGCAGCAGTTTGGAAACACTCTTTTTGTAGAAACTGTAAGTGGATATTTGGATAGCTCTAACGATTTTGTTGGAAACGGTAATATCATCATCTAAAATCTAGACAGAAGCACTATTAGAAACTACTTGGTGATATCTGCATTCAAGTCACAGAGTTGAACATTCCCTTACTTTGAGCACCTTTCAAACACTCTTTTGGAAGAATCTGGAAGTGGACATTTGGAGCGCTTTGATGCCTTTGGTGAAAAGGAAACGTCTTCCAATAAAAGCCAGACAGAAGCATTCTCAGAAACTTGTTCGTGATGAGTGTACTCAACTAAAAGATTTGAACCTTTCTATTGATAGAGCAGTTTTGAAACACTCTTTTTGTGGATTCTTCAAGTGGATATTTGGATTGCTTTGAGGATTTCGTTGGAAGCGGGAATTCGTATAAAAACTATACAGCAGCATTCCCAGAAATTTCTTTCGGATATTTCCATTCGACTCATAGAGATGAACATGGCCTTTCATAGAGCAGGTTTGAAACACACTTTTTGTAGTTTGTGGAAGTGGACATTTCGATCGCCTTGACGCCTACGGTGAAAAAGGAAATATCTTCCCATAAAAAATAGACAGAAGCATTCTCAGAAACTTGTTGGTGATATGTGTCCTCAACTAACAGAGTTGAACTTTGCCATTGATAGAGAGCAGTTTTGAAACACTCTTTTTGTGGAATCTGCAAGTGGATATTTGGATAGCTTGGAGGATTTCGTTGGAAGCGGGAATTCAAATAAAAGGTAGACAGCAGCATTCTCAGAAATTTCTTTCTGATGTCTGCATTCAACTCATAGAGTTGAAGATTCCCTTTCATAGAGCAGGTTTGAAACACTCTTTCTGGAGTATCTGGATGTGGACATTTGGAGCGCTTTGATGCCTACGGTGAAAAAGTAAATATCTTCCCATAAAAACGACACAGAGGATTCTGAGAAACAAGTTTGTGATGTGTGTACTCAGCTAACAGAGTGGAACCTTTCTTTTTACAGAGCAGCTTTGAAACTCTATTTTTGTGGATTCTGCAAATTGGTATTTAGATTGCTTTAACGATATCGTTGGAAAAGGGAATATCGTCATACAAAATTCTAGACAGAAAGTATTCTCACAAACTTCTTTGTGATGTGTGTCCTCAACTAACAGAGTTGAACCTTTCTTTTGATGCAGCAGTTTGGAAACACCCTTTTGGTAGAAACTGTAAGTGGATATTTGGATAGCTCTAACGATTTCGTTGGAAACGGGAATATCATCATCTAAAATCTAGACAGAAGCACTATTAGAAACTACTTGGTGATATCTGCATTCAAGTCACAGAGTTGAACATTCCCTTACTTTGAGCACGTTTGAAACACTCTTTTGGAAGAATCTGGAAGTGGACATTTGGAGCGCTATGATGCCTTTGGTGAAAAGGAAACGTCTTCCAATAAAAGCCAGACAGAAGCATTCTCAGAAACTTGTTTGTGATGTGTGTACTCAACTAAAAGAGTTGAACCTTTCTATTGATAGAGCAGTTTTGAAACACTCTTTTTGTGGATTCTGCAAGTGGATATTTGGATTGCTTTGAGGATTTCGTTGGAAGCGGGAATTCGTATAAAAACTAGACAGCAGCATTCCCAGAAATTTCTTTCGGATATTTCCATTCGACTCATAGAGATGAACATGGCCTTTCATAGAGCAGGTTTGAAACACTCTTTTTGTAGTTTGTGGAAGTGGACATTTCGATCGCCTTGACGCCTACGGTGAAAAAGGAAATATCTTCCCATAAAAAATAGACAGAAGCATTCTCAGAAACTTGTTGGTGATATGTGTCCTCAACTAACAGAGTTGAACTTTGCCATTGATAGAGAGCAGTTTTGAAACACTCTTTTTGTGGAATCTGCAAGTGGATATTTGGATAGCTTGGAGGATTTCGTTGGAAGCGGGAATTCCAATAAAAGGTAGACAGCAGCATTCTCAGAAATTTCTTTCTGATGTCTGCATTCAACTCATAGAGTTTAAGATTCCCTTTCATAGAGCAGGTTTGAAACACTCTTTCTGGAGTATCTGGATGTGGACATTTGGAGCGCTTTCATGCCTATGGTGAAAAAGTAAATATCTTGTCATAAAAACGAGACAGAAGGATTCTGAGAAACAAGTTTGAGATGTGTGTACTCAGCTAACAGAGTGGAACCTTTCTTTTTACAGAGCAGCTTTGAAACTCTATTTTTGTGGATTCTGCAAATGGATATTTAGATTGCTTTAACGATATCGTTGGAAAAGGGAATATCGTCATACAAAATCTGGACAGAAGCATTCTCACAAACTTCTTTGTGATGTGTGTCCTCAACTAACAGAGTTGAACCTTTCTTTTGATGCAGCAATTTGGAAACACCCTTTTGGTCGAAACTGTAACTGGATATTTGGATAGCTCTAACGATTTCGTTGGAAACGGGAATATCATCATCTAAAATCTAGACAGAAGCACTATTAGAAACTACTTGGTGATATCTGCATTCAAGTCACAGAGTTGAACATTCCCTTACTTTGAGCACGTTTGAAACACTCTTTTGGAAGAATCTGGAAGTGGACATTTGGAGCGCCTTGATGCCTTTGGTGAAAAGGAAACGTCTTCCAATAAAAGCCAGACAGAAGCATTCTCAGAAACTTGTTTGTGATGTGTGTACTCAACTAAAAGAGTTGAACCTTTCTATTGATAGAGCAGTTTTGAAACACTCTTTTTGTGGATTCTGCAAGTGGATATTTGGATTGCTTTGAGGATATCGTTGGAAGCGGGAATTTGTATAAAAACTAGACAGCAGCATTCCCAGAAATTTCTTTCGGATATTTCCATTCAACTCATAGAGATGAACATGGCCTTTCATAGAGCAGGTTTGAAACACTCTTTTTGTAGTTTGCGGAAGTGGACATTTCGATCGCCTTGACGCCTACGGTGAAAAAGGAAATATCTTCCCATAAAAAATAGACAGAAGCATTCTCAGAAACTTGTTGGTGATATGTGTCCTCAACTAACAGAGTTGAACTTTGCCATTGATAGAGAGCAGTTTTGAAACACTCTTTTTGTGGAATCTGCAAGTGGATATTTGGATAGCTTGGAGGATTTCGTTGGAAGCGGGAATTCAAATAAAAGGTAGACAGCAGCATTCTCAGAAATTTCTTTCTGATGTCTGCATTCAACTCATAGAGTTGAAGATTCCCTTTCATAGAGCAGGTTTGAAACACTCTTTCTGTAGTATCTGGATGTGGACATTTGGAGCGCTTTGATGCCTACAGTGAAAAAGTATAATCTTCCCATAAAAACGAGACAGAAGGATTCTCAGAAACAAGTTTGTGATGTGTGTACTCAGCTAACAGAGTGGAACCTTTCTTTTTACAGAGCAGCTTTGAAACTCTATTTTTGTGGATTCTGCAAATTGATATTTAGATTGCTTTAACGATATCGTGGAAAAGGGAATATCGTCATACAAAATCTAGACAGAAGCATTCTCACAAACTTCTTTGTGATGTGTGTCCTCAACTAACAGAGTTGAACCTTTCTTTTGATGCAGCAATTTGGAAACACCCTTTTGGTAGAAACTGTAACTGGATATTTGGATAGCTCTAACGATTTCGTTGGAAACGGGAATATCATCATCTAAAATGTAGACAAAAGCACTATTAGAAACTACTTGGTGATATCTGCATTCAAGTCACAGAGTTGAACATTCCCTTACTTTGAGCACGTTTGATACACTCTTTTGGAAGAATCTGGAAGTGGACATTTGGAGCGCTTTGATGCCTTTGGTGAAAAGGAAACGTCTTCCAATAAAAGCCAGACAGAAGCATTCTCAGAAACTTGTTTGTGATGTGTGTACTCAACTAAAAGAGTTGAACCTTTCTATTGATAGAGCAGTTTTGAAACACTCTTTTTGTGGAATCTGCAAGTGGATATTTGGATAGCTTGGAGGATTTCGTTGGAAGCGGGAATTCAAATGAAATGTAGACAGCAGCATTCCCAGTAAATTTCTTTCGGATATTTCCATTCAACTCATTGAGATGAACATCGCCTTTCATAGAGCAGGTTTGAAACACTCTTTTTGTAGTTTGTGGAAGTGGACATTTCGATCGCCTTGACGCCTACAGTGAAAAAGGAAATATCTTCCCATAAAAAATAGACAGAAGCATTCTCAGAAACTTGTTGGTGATATGTGTCCTCAACTAACAGAGTTGAACTTTGCCATTGATAGAGAGCAGTTTTGAAACACTCTTTTTGTGGAATCTGCAAGTGGATATTTGGATAGCTTGGAGGATTTCGTTGGAAGCGGGAATTCAAATAAAAGGTAGACAGCAGCATTCTCAGAAATTTCTTTCTGATGTCTGCATTCAACTCATAGAGTTGAGCATTCCCTTTCATAGGGCAGGTTTGAAATACTCTTTCTGTAGTATCTGGATGTGGACATTTGGAGCGCTTTGATGCCTACGGTGAAAAAGTAAATATCTTCCCATAAAAACGAGACAGAAGGATTCTGAGAAAAAAGTTTGTGATGTGTGTACTCAGCTAACAGAGTGGAACCTCTCTTTTGATGCAGCAGTTTGGAAACACTCTTTTTGTAGAAACTGTAAGTGGATATTTGGATAGCTCTAATGATTTCGTTGGAAACGGGAATATCATCATCTAAAATCTAGACAGAAGCGCTCTCAGAAACTACTTTGTGATATCTGCATTCAAGTCACAGAGTTGAACATTCGCTTTCTTACAGCACTTTTGAAACACTCTTTTTGTAGTATCTGGAAGTGGACATTTGGAGCTCTTTGATGCCTTTGGTGAAAAAGGAAATGTCTTCCCATAAAAACTAGACAGAAGCATTCTCAGAAACTTGTTTGTGATGTGTGTACCCAGCTAAAGGAGTTGAACATTTCTATTGATAGAGCAGTTTTGAAACGCTCTTTTTGTGGAAAATGCAGGTGGATATTTGGATAGCTTGGAGGATTTCGTTGGAAGCGGGAATTCAAATAAAAGGTAGACAGCAGCATTCTCAGAAATTTCTTTCTCATGTCTGCATTCAACTCATAGAGTTGAAGATTCCCTTTCATAGAGCAGGTTTGAAACACTCTTTCTGGAGTATCTGGATGTGGACATTTGGAGCGCTTTGATGCCTACGGTGGAAAAGTAAATATCTTCCCATAAAAACGAGACAGAAGGATTCTGAGAAACAAGTTTGTGATGTGTGTACTCAGCTAACAGAGTGGAACCTCTCTTTTGATGCAGCAGTTTGGAAACACTCTTTTTGTAGAAACTGTAAGTGGATATTTGGATAGCTCTAATGATTTCGTTGGAAACGGGAATATCATCATCTAAAATCTAGAGAGAAGCCCTCTCAGAAACTACTTTGTGATATGTGCATTCAAGTCACAGAGTTGAACATTCGCTTTCTTAGAGCACGTTTGAAACACTCTTTTTGTAGTGTCTGGAAGTGGACATTTGGAGCGCTTTGATGCCTTTGGTGAAAAAGGGAACGTCTTCCCATAAAAACTAGACAGAAGCATTCACAGAAACTTGTTTGTGATGTGTGTACCCAGCCAAAGGAGTTGAACATTTCTATTGATAGAGCAGTTTTGAAACACTCTTTTTGTGGAAAATGCAGGTGGATATTTGGATAGCTTGGAGGATTTCGTTGGAAGCGGGAATTCAAATAAAAGGTAGACAGCAGCATTCTCAGAAATTTCTTTCTGATGTCTGCATTCAACTCATACAGTTGAAGATTCCCTTTCGTAGAGCAGGTTTGAAACACTCCTTCTGGAGTATCTGGATGTGGACATTTGGAGCGCTTTGATGCCTACGGTGGAAAAGTAAATATCTTCCCATAAAAACGAGACAGAAGGATTCTCAGAAACAAGTTTGTGATGTGTGTACTCAGCTAACAGAGTGGATCCTTTCTTCTTACAGAGCAGCTTTGAAACTCTATTTCTGTGGATTCTGCAAATTGACATTTGGGTTGATTTAACGACATCGTTGGAAAAGGGAATATCTTCATACAAAATCTAGACAGAAGCATTCTCACAAACTTCTTTGTGATGTGTGTCCTCAACTAACAGAGTTGAACCTTTCTTTTAATGCAGCAGTTTGGAAACACTCTTTTTGTAGAAACTGTAAGTGGATATTTGGATAGCTCTAACGATTTCGTTGGAAACGGGAATATCATCATCTAAAATCTAGACAGAAGCACTATTAGAAACTACTTGGTGATATCTGCATTCAAGTCACAGAGTTGAACATTCCCTTACTTCGACCACGTTTGAAACTCTCTTTTGGAAGAATCTGGAAGTGGACATTTGGAGCGCTTTGATGCCTTTGGTGAAAAGGAAACGTCTTCCAATAAAAGCCAGACAGAAGCATTCTCAGAAACTTGTTGGTGATGTGTGTACTCAACTAAAAGAGTTGAACCTTTCTATTGATAGAGCAGTTTTGAAACACTCTTTTTGTGGATTCTGCAAGTGGATATTTGGATTGCTTTGAGGATTTCGTTGGAAGCGGGAATTCATATAAAAACAAGACAGCAGCATTCCCAGAAATTTCTTTCGGATATTTCCATTCAACTCATTGAGATGAACATCGCCTTTCATAGAGCAGGTTTGAAACACTCTTTTTGTAGTTTGTGGAAGTGGACATTTCGATCGCCTTGACGCCTACAGTGAAAAAGGAAATATCTTCCCATAAAAAATAGACAGAAGCATTCTCAGAAACTTGTTGGTGATATGTGTCCTCAACTAACAGAGTTGAACTTTGCCATTGATAGAGAGCAGTTTTGAAACACTCTTTTTGTGGAATCTGCAAGTGGATATTTGGATAGCTTGGAGGATTTCGTTGGAAGCGGGAATTCAAATAAAAGGTAGACAGCCAGCATTCTCAGAAATTTCTTTCTGATGTCTGCATTCAACTCATAGAGTTGAAGATTCCCTTTCATAGAGCAGGTTTGAAACACTCTTTCTGGAGTATCTGGATGTGGACATTTGGAGCGCTTTGATGCCTACGGTGAAAAAGTAAATATCTTCCCATAAAAACGACACAGAGGATTCTCAGAAACAAGTTTGTGATGTGTGTACTCAGCTAACAGAGTGGAACCTCTCTTTTGATGCAGCAGTTTGGAAACACTCTTTTTGTAGAAACTGTAAGTGGATATTTGGATAGCTCTAATGATTTCGTTGGAAACGGGAATATCATCATCTAAAATCTAGACAGAAGCCCTCTCAGAAACTACTTTGTGATATCTGCATTCAAGTCACAGAGTTGAACATCCGGTTTCTTAGAGCACGTTTGAAACACTCTTTTTGTAGTGTCTGGAAGTGGACATTTGGAGCGCTTTGATGCCTTTGGTGAAAAAGGGAATGTCTTCCCATAAAAACTAGACAGAAGCATTCTCAGAAACTTGTTTGTGATGTGTGTACCCAGCTAAAGGAGTTGAACATTTCTATTGATAGAGCAGTTTTGAAACACTCTTTTTGTGGAAAATGCAAGTGGATATTTGGATAGCTTGGAGGATTTCGTTGGAAGCGGGAATTCAAATAAAAGATAGACAGCAGCATTCTCAGAAATTTCTTTCTGATGTCTGCATTCAACTCATAGAGTTGAAGATTCCCTTTCATAGAGCAGGTTTGAAACACTGTTTCTGGAGTATCTGGATGTGGACATTTGGAGCGCTTTGATGCCTACGGTGAAAAAGTAAATATCTTCCCATCAAAACGAGACAGAAGGATTCTCAGAAACAAGTTTGTGATGTGTGTACTCAGCTAACAGAGTGGAACCTTTCTTTTTACAGAGCAGCTTTGAAACTCTATTTTTGTGGATTCTGCAAATGGATATTTAGACTGCTTTAATGATATCGCTGGAAAAGGGAATATGGTCATACAAAATCTAGACAGAAGCATTCTCGCAAACTTCTTTGTGATGTGTGTCCTCAACTAACAGAGTTGAACCTTTCTTTTGATGCAGCATTTTGGAAACACCCTTTTGGTAGAAACTGTAACTGGATATTTGGATAGCTCTAACGATTTCGTTGGAAACGGGAATATCATCATCTAAAATGTAGACAGAAGCACTATTAGAAACTACTTGGTGATATCTGCATTCAAGTCACAGAGTTGAACATTCCCTTACTTTGAGCACGTTTGAAACACTCTTTTGGAAGAATCTGGAAGTGGACATTTGGAGCGCTTTGATGCCTTTGGTGAAAAGGAAACGTCTTCCAATAAAAGCCAGACAGAAGCATTCTCAGAAACTTGTTCGTGATGTGTGTACTCAACTAAAAGAGTTGAACCTTTCTATTGATAGAGCAGTTTTGAAACACTCTTTTTGTGGATTCTGCAAGTGGATATTTGGATTGCTTTGAGGATTTCGTTGGAAGCGGAAATTCGTATAAACACTAGACAGCAGCATTCCCAGAAATTTCTTTCGGATATTTCCATTCAACTCATAGAGGTGAACATGGCCTTTCATAGAGCAGGTTTGAAACACTCTTTTTGTAGTTTGTGGAAGTGGACATTTCGATCGCCTTGATGCCTACGGTGAAAAAGGAAATATCTTCCCATAAAAAATAGACAGAAGCATTCTCAGAAACTTGTTGGTGATATGTGTTCTCAACTAACAGAGTTGAACTTTGCCATTGATAGAGAGCAGTTTTGAAACACTCCTTCTGTGGAATCTGCAAGTGGATATTTGGATAGCTTGGAGGATTTCGTTGGAAGCGGGAATTCAAATAAAAGGTAGACAGCAGCATTCTCAGAAATTTCTTTGTGATGTGTACATTCAACTCATAGAGTAGAACATTCCCTTTCATAGAGCAGGTTTGAAACACTCTTTCTGTACTATCTGGATGTGGACATTTGGAACGCTTTGATGCCTACGGTGAAAAAGTAAATATCTTCCCATAAAAACTAGACAGAAGGATTCTGAGAAACAAGTTTGTGATGTGTGTACTCAGCTAACAGAGTGGAACCTTTCTTTTTACAGAGCAGCTTTGAAACTCTATTTTTGTGGATTCTGCAAATGGATATTTAGATTGCTTTAATGATATCGTTGGAAAAGGGAATATCGTCATACAAAATCTAGACAGAAGCATTCTCACAAACTTCTTTGTGATGTGTGTCCTCAACTAACAGAGTTGAACCTTTCTTTTGATGCAGCAGTTTGGAAACACTCTTTTTGTAGAAACTGTAAGTGGATATTTGGATAGCTCTAATGATTTCGTTGGAAACGGGAATATCATCATCTAAAATCTAGACAGAAGCACTATTAGAAACTACTTGGTGATATCTGCATTCAAGTCACAGAGTTGAACATTCCCTTACTTTGAGCACGTTTGAAACACTCTTTTGGAAGAATCTGGAAGTGGACATTTGGAGCGCTTTGATGCCTTTGGTGAAAAGGAAACGTCTTCCAATAAATGCCAGACAGAAAGCATTCTCAGTAAACTTGTTCGTGATGTGTGTACTCAACTAAAAGAGTTGAACCTTTCTATTGATAGAGCAGTTTTGAAACACTCTTTTTGTGGATTCTGCAAGTGGATATTTGGATTGCTTTGAGGATTTCGTTGGAAGCGGGAATTCGTATAAACACTAGACAGCAGCATTCCCAGAAATTTCTTTCGGATATTTCCATTCAACTCATAGAGATGAACATCGCCTTTCATAGAGCACGTTTGAAACACTCTTTTTGTAGTTTGTGGAAGTGGACATTTCGATCGCCTTGACGCCTACGGTGAAAAAGGAAATATCTTCCCATAAAAAATAGACAGAAGCATTCTCAGAAACTTGTTGGTGATATGTGTCCTCAACTAACAGAGTTGAACTTTGCCATTGATAGAGAGCAGTTTTGAAACACTCTTTTTGTGGAATCTGCAAGTGGATATTTGGATAGCTTGGAGGATTTCGTTGGAAGCGGGAATTCAAATAAAAGGTAGACAGCAGGATTCTGAGAAACAAGTTTGTGATGTGTGTACTCAGCTAACAGAGTGGAACCTCTCTTTTGATGCAGCAGTTTGGAAACACTCTTTTTGTAGAAACTGTAAGTGGATATTTGGATTGCTCTAATGATTTCGTTGGAAACGGGAATATCATCATCTAAAATCTAGACAGAAGCACTCTCAGAAACTACTTTTTGATATCTGCATTCAAGTCATAGAGTTGAACATTCGCTTTCTTAGAGCACTTTTGAAACACTCTTTTTGTAGTATCTGGAAGTGGACATTTGGAGCTCTTTGATGCCTTTGGTGAAAAAGGAAATGTCTTCCCATAAAATCTAGAAAGAAGCTTTCTCAGAAACTTGTTTGTGATGTGTGTACCCAGCGAAAGGAGTTGAACATTTCTATTGATAGAGCAGTTTTGAAACACTCTTTTTGTGGAATCTGCAAGTGGATATTTGGATGGCTGGGAGGTTTTTGTTGGAAGCGGGAATTCAAATAAAAGGTAGACAGCAGCATTCTCAGAAATTTCTTTCTGATGTCTGCATTCAACTCATAGAGTTGAAGATTCCCTTTCATAGAGCAGGTTTGATACAGTCTTTCTGGAGTATCTGGATGTGGACATTTGGAGCGCTTTGATGCCTACGGTGAAAAAGTAAATATCTTCCCATAAAAACGAGACAGAAGGATTCTCAGAAACAAGTTTGTAATGTGTGTACTCAGCTAACAGAGTGGAACCTTTCTTTTTACAGAGCAGCTTTGAAACTCTATTTTTGTGGATTCTGCAAATTGATATTTAGATTGCTTTAACGATATCGTTGGAAAAGGGAATATCGTCATACAAAATCTAGACAGAAGCATTCTCACAAACTTCTTTGTGATGTGTGTCCTCAACTAACAGAGTTGAACCTTTCTTTTGATGCAGCAATTTGGAAACACCCTTTTGGTAGAAACTGTAACTGGATATTTGGATAGCTCTAGCGATTTCGTTGGAAACGGGAATATCATCATCTAAAATGTAGACAGAAAGCACTATTAGAAACTACTTGGTGATATCTGCATTCAAGTCACAGAGTTGAACATTCCCTTACTTCGAGCACGTTTGAAACACTCTTTTGGAAGAATCTGGAAGTGGACATTTGGAGCGCTTTGATGCCTTTGGTGAAAAGGAAACGTCTTCCAATAAAAGCCAGACAGAAGCATTCTCAGAAACTTGTTCATGATGTGTGTACTCAACTAAAAGAGTTGAACCTTTCTATTGATAGCGCAGTTTTGAAACACTCTTTTTGTGGATTCTGCAAGTGGATATTTGGATTGCTTTGAGGATTTCGTTGGAAGCGGGAATTCATATAAAAACTAGACAGCAGCATTCCCAGAAATTTCTTTCGGATATTTCCATTCAACTCATAGAGATGAACATGGCCTTTCATAGAGCAGGTTTGAAACACTCTTTTTGTAGTTTGTGGAAGTGGACATTTCGATCGCCTTGACGCCTACGCTGAAAAAGGAAATATCTTCCCATAAAAAATAGACAGAAGCATTCTCAGAAACTTGTTGGTGATATGTGTCCTCAACTAACAGAGTTGAACTTTGCCATTGATAGAGAGCAGTTTTGAAACACTCTTTTTGTGGAATCTGCAAGTGGATATTTGGATAGCTTGGAGGATTTCGTTGGAAGCGGGAATTCAAATAAAGGTAGACAGCAGCATTCTCAGAAATTTCTTTCTGATGTCTGCATTCAACTCATAGAGTTGAAGATTCCCTTTCATAGAGCACGTTTGAAACCCTCTTTCTGGAGTATCTGGATGTGGACATTTGGAGCGCTTTGATGCCTACGGTGAGAAAGTAAATATCTTCCCATAAAAACGAGACAGAAGGATTCTGAGAAACAAGTTTGTGATGTGTGTACTCAGCTAACAGAGTGGAACCTCTCTTTTGATGCAGCAGTTTGGAAACACTCTTTTTGTAGAGACTGTAAGTGGATATTTGGATAGCTCTAATGATTTCGTTGGAAACGGGAATATCATCATCTAAAATCTAGACAGAAGCCCTCTCAGAAAACTACTTTGTGATATCTGCATTCAAGTCACAGAGTTGAACATTCGCTTTCTTAGAGCACGTTGGAAACACTCTTTTTGTAGTGTCTGGAAGTGGACATTTGGAGCGCTTTGATGCCTTTGTTGAAAAAGGGAACGTCTTCCCATAAAAACTAGACAGATAAGCATTCTCAGAAACTTGTTTGTGATGTGTGTACCCAGCCAAAGGAGTTGAACATTTCTATTGATAGAGCAGTTTTGAAACGCTCTTTTTGTGGAAAATGCAGGTGGATATTTGGATAGCTTGGAGGATTTCGTTGGAAGCGGGAATTCAAATAAAAGGTAGACAGCAGCATTCTCAGAAATTTCTTTCTGATGTCTGCATTCAAGTCATAGAGTTGAAGATTCCCTTTCATAGAGCAGGTTTGAAACAGTCTTTCTGGAGTATCTGGATGTGGACATTTGGAACGCTTTGATGCCTACGGTGGAAAAGTAAATATCTTCCCATAAAAACGAGACAGAAGGATTCTCAGAAACAAGTTTGTGATGTGTGTACTCAGCTAACAGAGTGGAACCTTTCTTTTTACAGAGCAGCTTTGAAACTCTATTTTTGTGGATTCTGCAAATTGATATTTAGATTGCTTTAACTATATCGTTGGAAAAGGGAATATGGTCATACAAAATCTAGACAGAAGCATTCTCACAAACTTCTTTGTGATGTGTGTCCTCAACTAACAGAGTTGAACCTTTCTTTTGATGCAGCAGTTTGGAAACACTCTTTTTGTAGAAACTGTAAGTGGATATTTGGATAGCTCTAACGATTTCGCTGGAAACGGGAATATCGTCATCTAAAATCTAGACAGAAGCCCTCTCAGAAACTACTTTGTGATATCTGCATTCAAGTCACAGAGTTGAACATTCGCTTTCTTAGAGCACGTTTGAAACACTCTTTTTGTAGTGTCTGGAAGTGGACATTTGGAGCGCTTTGATGCCTTTGTTGAAAAAGGGAATGTCTTCCCATAAAAACTAGACAGAAGCATTCTCAGAAACTTGTTTGTGATGTGTGTACCCAGCCAAAGGAGTTGAACATTTCTATTGATAGAGCAGTTTTGAAACACTCTTGTTGTGGAAAATGCAGGTGGATATTTGGATAGCTTGGAGGATTTCTTTGGAAGCGGGAATTCAAATAAAAGGTAGACAGCAGCATTCTCAGAAATTTCTTTCTGATGTCTGCATTCAACTCATAGAGTTGAAGATTCCCTTTCATAGAGCAGGTTTGAAACACTCCTTCTGGAGTATCTGGATGTGGACATTTGGAGCGCTTTGATGCCTACGGTGAAAAAGTAAATATCTTCCCAGAAAAACGAGACAGAAGGATTCTCAGAAACAAGTTTGTGATGTGTGTACTCAGCTAAAAGAGTGGAACCTTTCTTTTTACAGAGCAGCTTTGAAACTCTATTTTTGTGGATTCTGCAAATTGATATTTAGATTGTTTTAACGATATCGTTGGAAAAGGGAATATCGTCATACAAAATCTAGACAGAAGCATTCTCACAAACTTCTTTGTGATGTGTGTCCTCAACTAACAGAGTTGAAGCTTTCTTTTGATGCAGCAATTTGGAAACACCCTTTTGGTAGAAACTGTAACTGGATATTTGGATAGCTCTAACGATTTCGTTGGAAACGGGAATATCATCATCTAAAATCTAGACAGAAGCACTATTAGAAACTACTTGGTGATATCTGCATTCAAGTCACAGAGTTGAACATTCCCTTACTTTGAGCACGTTTGAAACACTCTTTTGGAAGAATCTGGAAGTGGACATTTGGAGCGCTTTGATGCCTTTTGTGAAAAGGAAACGTCTTCAAATAAAAGCCAGACAGAAGCGTTCTCAGAAACTTGTTCGTGATGTGTGTACTCAACTAAAAGAGTTGAACCTTTCTATTGATAGAGCAGTTTTGAAACACTCTTTTTGTGGATTCTGCAAGTGGATATTGGGATTGCTTTGAGGATTTCGTTGGAAGCGGGAATTCGTATAAAAACTAGACAGCAGCATTCCCAGAAATTTCTTTCGGATATTTCCATTCGACTCATAGAGATGAACATGGCCTTTCATAGAGCAGGTTTGAAACACTCTTTTTGTAGTTTGTGGAAGTGGACATTTCGATCGCCTTGACGCCTACGGTGAAAAAGGAAATATCTTCCCATAAAAAATAGACAGAAGCATTCTCAGAAACTTGTTGGTGATATGTGTCCTCAACTAACAGAGTTGAACTTTGCCATTGATAGAGAGCAGTTTTGAAACACTCTTTTTGTGGAATCTGCAAGTGGATATTTGGATAGCTTGGAGGATTTCGTTGGAAGCGGGAATTCAAATCAAAGGTAGACAGCAGCATTCTCAGAAATTACTTTCTGATGTCTGCATTCAACTCATAGAGTTGAAGATTCCCTTTCATAGAGCAGGTTTGAAACACTCTTTCTGTAGTACCTGGATGTGGACATTTGGAGCGCTTTGATACCTACGGTGAAAAAGTAAATATCTTCCCATAAAAACTAGACAGAAGGATTCTGAGAAACAAGTTTGTGATGTGTGTACTCAGCTAACAGAGTGGAACCTCTCTTTTGATGCAGCAGTTTGGAAACACTCTTTTTGTAGAAACTGTAAGTGGATATTTGGATAGCTCTAATGATTTCGTTGGAAACGGGAATATAATCATCTAAAATCTAGACAGAAGCAGTCTCAGAAACTACTTTGTGATATCTGCATTCCAGTCACAGAGTTGAAAACTCCCTTACTTAGAGCAGGTTTGAAACACACTTTTTGTAGAATCTGGAAGTGGACATTTGGAGCGCTTTGATGCCTTTGGTGAAAAAGGAAATGTCTTCCCTTAAAAAGTAGACAGAATCATTCTCAGAAACTTGTTTGTGATGTGTGTACCCAGCTAAAGGAGTTGAACTTTGCCATTGATAGAGAGCAGTTTTGAAACCCTCTTTTTGTGGAAAATGCAAGTGGGTATTTGGATAGCTTGGAGGATTTCGTTGGAAGCGGGAATTCAAATAAAAGGTAGACAGCAGCATTCTCAGAAATTTCTTTCTGATGTGTGCATTCAACTCATAGAGTTGAAGATTCCCTTTCATAGAGCAGGTTTGAAACACTCTTTCTGGAGTATCTGGATGTGGACATTTGGAGCGCTTTGATGCCTACGGTGGAAAAGTAAATATCTTCCCATAAAAACGAGACAGAAGGATTCTGAGAAACAAGTTTGTGATGTGTGTACTCAGCTAACAGAGTGGAACCTCTCTTTTGATGCAGCAGTTTGGAAACACTCTTTTTGTAGAAACTCTAAGTGGATATTTGGATAGCTCTAATGATTTCGTTGGAAACGGGAATATCATCATCTAAAATCTAGACAGAAGCACTCTCAGAAACTACTGTGTGATATCTGCATTCAAGTCACAGAGTTGAACATTCGCTTTCTTAGAGCACGTTTGAAACACTCTTTTTGTAGTGTCTGGAAGTGGACATTTGGAGCGCTTTGATGTCTTTGGTGAAAAAGGGAATGTCTTCCCATAAAAACTAGACAGAAGCATTCTCAGAGACTTGTTTGTGATGTGTGTACCCAGCCAAAGGAGTTGAACATTTCTATTGATAGAGCAGTTTTGAAACACTCTTTTTGTGGAAAATGCAGGTGGATATTTGGATAGCTTGGAGGATTTCGTTGGAAGCGGGAATTCAAATAAAAGTTAGACAGCAGCATTCTCAGAAATTTCTTTCTGATGTCTGCATTCAAGTCATAGAGTTGAAGATTCCCTTTCATAGAGCAGGTTTGAAACACTCGTTCTGGAGTATCTGGATGTGGACATTTGGAGCGCTTTGATGCCTACGGTGGAAAAGTAAATATCTTCCCATAAAAACGAGACAGAAGGATTCTCAGAAACAAGTTTGTGATGTGTGTACTCAGCTAACAGAGTGGAACCTTTATTTTTACAGAGCAGCTTTGAAACTCTATTTTCGTGGATTCTGCAAATTGATATTTAGATTGCTTTAACGATATCGTTGGAAAAGGGAATATCGTCATACAAAATACTAGACAGAAGCATTCTCACAAACTTCTTTGTGATGTGTGTCCTCAACTAACAGAGTTGAACCTTTCTTTTGATGCAGCAGTTTGGAAACACTCTTTTTGTAGAAACTGTAAGTGGATATTTGGATAGCTCTAACGATTTTGTTGGAAACGGGAATATCATCATCTAAAATCTAGACAGAAGCACTATTAGAAACTACTTGGTGATATCTGCATTCAAGTCACAGAGTTGAACATTCCCTTACTTTGAGCACGTTTGAAACACTCTTTTGGAAGAATCTGGAAGTGGACATTTGGAGCGCTTTGATGCCTTTGTTGAAAAGGAAACGTCTTCCAATAAAAGCCAGACAGAAGCATTCTGAGAAACTTGTTCGTCATGTGTGTACTCAACTAAAAGAGTTGAACCTTTCTATTGATAGAGCAGTTTTGAAACACTCTTTTTGTGGATTCTGCAAGTGGATATTTGGATTGCTTTGAGGATTTCGTTGGAAGCGGGAATTCGTATAAACACTAGACAGCAGCATTCCCAGAAATTTCTTTCGGATATTTCCATTCACCTCATAGAGATGAACATGGCCTTTCAGAGAGCAGGTTTGAAACACTCTTTTTGTAGTTTGTGGAAGTGGACATTTCGATCGCCTTGACGCCTACGGTGAAAAAGGAAATATCTTCCCATAAAATATAGACAGAAGCATTCTCAGAAACTTGTTGGTGATATGTGTCCTCAACTAACAGAGTTGAACTTTGCCATTGATAGAGAGCAGTTTTGAAACACTCTTTTTGTGGAATCTGCAAGTGGATATTTGGATAGCTTGGAGGATTTCGTTGGAAGCGGGAATTCAAATAAAAGGTAGACAGCAGCATTCTCAGAAATTTCTTTGTGATGTCTGCATTCAACTCATGGAGTTGAAGATTCCCTTTCATAGAGCAGGTTTGAAACACTCTTTCTGGAGTATCTGGATGTGGACATTTGGAGCGCTTTGATGCCTACGGTGGAAAAGTAAATATCTTCCCATAAAAACGAGACAGAAGGATTCTGAGAAACAAGTTTGTGATGTGTGTACTCAGCTAACAGAGTGGAACCCTTTCTTTTTACAGAGCAGCTTTGAAACTCTATTTTTGTGGATTCTGCAAATTGATATTTAGATTGCTTTAACGATATCGTTGGAAAACGGAATATCGTCATACAAAATCTAGACAGAAGCATTCTCACAAACTTCTTTGTGATGTGTGTCCTCAACTAACAGAGTTGAACCTTTCTTTTGATGCAGCAGTTTGGAAACACTCTTTTTGTAGAAACTGTAAGTGGATATTTGGATAGCTCTAACGATTTCGTTGGAAACGGGAATATCATCATCTAAAACCTAGACAGAAGCACTATTAGAAACTACTTGGTGATATCTGCATTCAAGTCACAGAGTTGAACATTCCCTTACTTTGAGCACGTTTGAAACACTCTTTTGGAAGAATCTGGAAGTGGACATTTGGAACGCTTTGATGCCTTTGGTGAAAAGGAAACGTCTTCCAATAAAAGCCAGACAGAAGCATTCTCAGAAAATTGTTTGTGATGTGTGTACTCAACTAAAAGAGTTGAACCTTTCTATTGATAGAGCAGTTTTGAAACACTCTTTTTGTGGATTCTGCAAGTGGATATTTGGATTGCTTTGAGGATTTCGTTGGAAGCGGGAATTCGTATAAAAACTAGACAGCAGCATTCCCAGAAATTTCTTTCGGATATTTCCATTCGACTCATAGAGATGAACATGGCCTTTCATAGAGCAGGTTTGAAACACTCTTTTTGTAGTTTGTGGAAGTGGACATTTCGATCGCCTTGACGCCTACGGTGAAAAAGGAAATATCTTCCCATAAAAAATAGACAGAAGCATTCTCAGAAACTTGTTTGTGATGTGTGTACCCAGCTAAAGGAGTTGAACATTTCTATTGATAGAGCAGTTTTGAAACACTCTTTTTGTGGAAAATGCAAGTGGATATTTGGATAGCTTGGAGGATTTCGTTGGAAGCGGGAATTCAAATAAAAGGTAGCAGCATTCTCAGAAATTTCTTTCTGATGTCTGCATTCAACTCATAGAGTTGAAGATTCCCTTTCATAGAGCAGGTTTGAAACACTCTTTCTGGAGTATCTGGATGTGGACATTTGGAGCGCTTTGATGCCTACGGTGAAAAAGTAAATATCTTCCCATAAAAACGAGACAGAAGGATTCTCAGAAACAAGTTTGTGATGTGTGTACTCAGCTAACAGAGTGGAACCTTTCTTTTTATAGAGCAGCTTTGAAACTCTATTTTTGTGGATTCTGCAAATTGATATTTAGATTGCTTTAACGATATCGTTGGAAAAGGGAATATCGTCATACAAAATCTAGACAGAAGCATTCTCACAAACTTCTTTGTTATGTGTGTCCTCAACTAACAGTAGTTGAACCTTTCTTTTGATGCAGCAGTTTGGAAACACTCTTTTTGTAGAAACTGTAAGTGGATATTTGGATAGCTCTAACGATTTCGTTGGAAACGGGAATATCATCATCTAAAATCTAGACAGAAGCACTGTTAGAAACTACTTGGTGATATCTGCATTCAAGTCAAAGAGTTGAACATTCCCTTACTTTGAGCACGTTTGAAACACTCTTTTGGAAGAATCTGGAAGTGGACATTTGGAGCGCTTTGATGCCTTTGGTGAAAAGGAAACGTCTTCCAATAAAAGCCAGACAGAAGCATTCTCAGAAACTTGTTTGTGATGTGTGTACTCAACTAAAAGAGTTGAACCTTTCTATTGATAGAGCAGTTTTGAAACACTCTTTTTGTGGATTCTGCAAGTGGATATTTGGATTGCTTTCAGGAATTCGTTGGAAGCGGGAATTCGTATAAAAACTAGACAGCAGCATTCCCAGAAATTTCTTTCGGATATTTCCATTCGACTCATAGAGATGAACATGGCCTTTCATAGAGCAGGTTTGAAACACTCTTTTTGTAGTTTGTGGAAGTGGACATTTCGATCGCCTTGACGCCTACGGTGAAAAAGGAAATATCTTCCCATAAAAAATAGACAGAAGCATTCTCAGAAACTTGTTGGTGATATGTGTCCTCAACTAACAGAGTTGAACTTTGCCATTGATAGAGAGCAGTTTTGAAACACTCTTTTTGTGGAATCTGCAAGTGGATATTTGGATAGCTTGGAGGATTTCGTTGGAAGCGGGAATTCAAATAAAAGTTAGACAGCAGCATTCTCAGAAATTTCTTTCTGATGTCTGCATTCAACTCATAGAGTTGAAGATTCCCTTTCATAGAGCAGGTTTGAAACACTCTTTCTGGAGTATCTGGATGTGGACATTTGGAGCGCTTTGATGCCTACGGTGAAAAAGTAAATATCTTCCCATAAAATCGAGACAGAAGGATTCTGAGAAACAAGTTTGTGATGTGTGTACTCAGCTAACAGAGTGGAAACCTCTTTTGATGCAGCAGTTTGGAAACACTCTTTTTGTAGATACTGTAAGTGGATATTTGTATAGCTCTAATGATTTCGTTGGAAACGGGAATATCATCATCTAAAATCTAGACAGAAGCCCTCTCAGAAACTACTTTGTGATATCTGCATTCAAGTCACAGAGTTGAACATTCGCTTTCTTAGAGCACGTTTGAAACACTCTTTTTGTAGTGTCTGGAAGTGGACATTTGGAGTGCTTTGATGCCTTTGGTGAAAAAGGGAACGTCTTCCCATAAAAACTAGACAGAAGCATTCTCAGAAACTTGTTTGTGATGTGTGTACCCAGCTAAAGGAGTTGAACATTTCTATTGATAGAGCAGTTTTGAAACACTCTTTTTGTGGAAAATGCAGGGGGATATTTGGATAGCTTGGAGGATTTCGTTGGAAGCGGGAATTCAAATAAAAGGTAGACAGCAGCATTCTCAGAAATTTCTTTCTGATGTCTGCATTCAACTCATAGAGTTGAAGATTCCCTTTCATAGAGCAGGTTTGAAACACTCTTTCTGGAGTATCTGGATGTGGACCTTTGGAGCGCTTTGATGCCTACGGTGAAAAAGTAAATATCTTCCATAAAAACGAGACAGAAGGATTCTCAGAAACAAGTTTGTGATGTGTGTACTCAGCTAACAGAGTGGAACCTTTCTTTTTACAGAGCAGCTTTGAAACTCTATTTTTGTGGATTCTGCAAATTGATATTTAGATTGCTTTAACGATATCGTTGGAAAAGAGAATATGGTCATACAAAATCTAGACAGAAGCATTCTCACAAACAGCTTTGTGACGTGTGTCCTCAACTAACAGTAGTTGAACCTTTCTTTTGATGCAGCAGTTTGGAAACACCCTTTTGGTAGAAACTGTAAGTGGATATTTGGATAGCTCTAACGATTTCGTTGGAAACGGGAATATCATCATCTAAAATCTAGACAGAAGCACTATTAGAAACTACTTGGTGATATCTGCATTCAAGTCACAGAGTTGAACATTCCCTTACATTGAGCACGTTTGCAACACTCTTTTGGAAGAATCTGGAAGTGGACATTTGGAGCGCTTTGATGCCTTTGGTGAAAAGGAAACGTCTTCCAATAAAAGCCAGACAGAAGCATTCTCAGAAACTTGTTTGTGATGTGTGTACTCAACTAAAAGAGTTGAAACTTTCTATTGATAGAGCAGTTTTGAAACACTCTTTTTGTGGATTCTGCAAGTGGATATTTGGATTGCTTTGAGGATTTCGTTGGAAGCGGGAATTCGTATAACAACTAGACAGCAGCATTCCCAGAAATTTCTTTCGGATATTTCCATTCGACTCATAGAGATGAACATGGCCTTTCATAGAGCAGGTTTGAAACACTCTTTTTGTAGTTTGTGGAAGTGGACATTTCGATCGCCTTGACGCCTACGGTGAAAAAGGAAATATCTTCCCATAAAAAATAGACAGAAGCATTCTCAGAAACTTGTTGGTGATATGTGTCCTCAACTAACAGAGTTGAACTTTGCCATTGATAGAGAGCAGTTTTGAAACACTCTTTTTGTGGAATCTGCAAGTGGATATTTGGATAGCTTGGAGGATTTCGTTGGAAGCGGGAATTCAAATAAAAGGTAGACAGCAGCATTCTCAGAAATTTCTTTCTGATGTCTGCATTCAACTCATAGAGTTGAAGATTCCCTTTCATAGAGCAGGTTTGAAACACTCTTTCTGGAGTATCTGGATGTGGACATTTGGAGCGCTTTGATGCCCACGGTGAAAAAGTAAATATCTTCCCAGAAAAACGAGACAGAAGGATTCTGAGAAACAAGTTTGTGATGTGTGTACTCAGCTAACAGAGTGGAACCTTTCTTTTTACAGAGCAGCTTTCAAACTCTTTTTTTGTGGATTCTGCAAATTGATATTTAGATTGCTTTAACGATATCGTTGGAAAAGGGAATATGGTCATACAAAATCTAGACAGAAGCTTTCTCAGAAACTTCTTTGTGATGTGTGTCCTCAACTCACAGAGTTGAACCTTTCTTTTGATGCAGCAGTTTGGAAACACTCTTCTTGTAGAAACTGTTAGTGGATATTTGGATAGGTCTAACGATATCGTTGGAAACGGAAATATCTTCATCTAAAGTATACACAGAAGCACTATTAGAAACTACTTGGTGATATCTGCATTCAAGTCACAGAGTTGAACATTCCCTTACTTCGACCACGTTTGAAACACTCTTTTGGAAGAATCTGGAAGTGGACATTTGGAGCGCTTTGATGCCTTTGGTGAAAACGAAACGTCTTCCAATAAAAGCCAGACAGAAGCATTCTCAGAAACTTGTTTGTGATGAGTGTACTCAACTAAAAGAGTTGAACCTTTCTATTGATAGAGCAGTTTTGAAACACTCTTTTTGTGGATTCTGCAAGTGGATATTTGGATTGCTTTGAGGATTTCGTTGGAAGCGGGAATTCGTATAAAAACTAGACAGCAGCATTCCCAGAAATTTCTTTCGGATATTTCCATTCAACTCATAGAGATGAACATGGCCTTTGCATAGAGCAGGTTTGAAACACTCTTTTTGTAGTTTGTGGAAGTGGACATTTCGATCGCCTTGACGCCTACGGTGAAAAAGGAAATATCTTCCCATAAAAAATAGACAGAAGCATTCTCAGAAACTTGTTGGTGATATGTGTCCTCAACTAACAGAGTTGAACTTTGCCATTGATAGAGAGCAGTTTTGAAACACTCTTTTTGTGGAATCTGCAAGTGGATATTTGGATAGCTTGGAGGATTTCGTTGGAAGCGGGAATTCAAATAAAAGGTAGACAGCAGCATTCTCAGAAATTTCTTTCTGATGTCTGCATTCAACTCATAGAGTTGAAGATTCCCTTTCATAGAGCAGGTTTGAAACACTCTTTCTGGAGTATCTGGATGTGGACATTTGGAGCGCTTTGATGCCTACGGTGAAAAAGTAAATATCTTCCCAGAAAAACGACACAGAAGGATTCTGAGAAACAAGTTTGTGATGTGTGTACTCAGCTAACAGAGTGGAACCTCTCTTTTGATGCAGCAGTTTGGAAATACTCTTTTTGTAGAAACTGTAAGTGGATATTTGGATAGCTCCTAATGATTTCGTTGGAAACGGGAATATCATCATGCTAAAATACTAGACAGAAAGCCCTCTCAGAAACTACTTTGTGATATCTGCATTCAAGTCACAGAGTTGAACATTCGCTTTCTTAGAGCACGTTTGAAACACTCTTTTTGTAGTGTCTGGAAGTGGACATTTGGAGCGCTTTGATGTCTTTGGTGAAAAAGGGAATGTCTTCCCATAAAAACTAGACAGAAGGATTCTCAGAAACTTGTTTGTGATGTGTGTACCCAGCTAAAGGAGTTGAACATTTCTATTGATAGAGCAGTTTTGAAACACTCTTTTTGTGGAATCTGCAGGTGGATATTTGGATAGCTTGGAGGATTTCGTTGGAAGCGGGAATTCAAATAAAAGGTAGACAGGAGCATTCTCAGAAATTTCTTTCTGATGTCTGCATTCAACTCATAGAGTTGAAGATTCCCTTTCATAGAGCAGGTTTGAAACACTCGTTCTGGAGTATCTGGATGTGGACATTTGGAGCGCTTTGATGCCTACGGTGGAAAAGTATATATCTTCCCATAAAAACGAGACAGAAGGATTCTCAGAAACAAGTTTGCGATGTGTGTACTCAGCTAACAGAGTGGAACCTTTCTTTTTACAGAGCAGCTTTGAAACTCTATTTTTGTGGATTCTGCAAATTGATATTTAGATTGCTTTAACGATATCGTTGGAAAAGGGAATATCGTCATACAAAATCTAGACAGAAGCATTCTCACAAACTTCCTTGTGATGTGTGTCCTCAACTAACAGAGTTGAACCTTTCTTTTGATGCAGCAGTTTGGAAACACTCTTTTTGTAGAAACTGTAAGTGGATATTTGGATAGCTCTAACGATTTCGTTGGAAACGGGAATATCATCATCTAAAATCTAGACAGAAGCACTATTAGAAACTACTTGGTGATATCTGCATTCAAGTCAAACAGTTGAACATTCCCTTACTTTGAGCACGTTTGAAACACTCTTTTGGAAGAATCTGGAAGTGGACATTTGGAGCGCTTTGATGCCTTTGGTGAAAAGGAAACGTCTTCCAATAAAAGCCAGACAGAAGCATTCTCAGAAACTTGTTCGTGATGTGTGTACTCAACTAAAAGAAGTTGAACCTTTCTATTGATAGAGCAGTTTTGAAACACTCTTTTTGTGGATTCTGCAAGTGGATATTTGGATTGCTTTGAGGATTTCGTTGGAAGCGGGAATTCGTATAAACACTAGACAGCAGCATTCCCAGAAATTTCTTTCGGATATTTCCATTCAACTCATAGAGATGAACATGGCCTTTCATAGAGCAGGTTTGAAACACTCTTTTTGCAGTTTGTGGAAGTGGACATTTCGATCGCCTTGACGCCTACGCTGAAAAAGGAAATATCTTCCCATAAAAAATAGACAGAAGCATTCTCAGAAACTTGTTGGTGATATGTGTCCTCAACTAACAGAGTTGAACTTTCCCATTGATAGAGAGCAGTTTTGAAACACTCTTTTTGTGGACTCTGCAAGTGGATATTTGGATAGCTTGGAGGATTTCGTTGGAAGCGGGAATTCAAATAAAAGGTAGACAGCAGCATTCTCAGAAATTTCTTTCTGATGTCTGCATTCAACTCATAGAGTTGAAGATTCCCTTTCATAGAGCAGGTTTGAAACACTCTTTCTGGAGTATCTGGATGTGGACATTTGGAGAGCTTTGATGCCTACGGTGAGAAAGTAAATATCTTCCCATAAAAACGTGACAGAAGGATTCTCAGAAACAAGTTTGTGATGTGTGTACTCAGCTAACAGAGTGGAACCTTTCTTTTTACAGAGCAGCTTTGAAACTCTATTTTTGTGGATTCTGCAAATGGATATTTAGATTGCTTTAACGATATCGCTGGAAAAGGGAATATGGTCATACAAAATACTAGACAGAAGCTTTCTCAGAAACTTCTTTGTGATGCGTGTCCTCAACTAACAGAGTTGAACCTTTCTTTTGATGCAGCAGTTTGGAAACACTCTTTTTATAAAAACTGTAAGTGGATATTTGGGTAGGTCTAACGATATCGTTGGAAACGGGGATATCTTCATCTAAAGTATACACAGAAACACTATTAGAAACTACTTGGTGATATCTGCATTCAAGTCACAGAGTTGAACATTCCCTTACTTTGAGCACGTTTGAAACACTCTTTTGGAAGAATCTGGAAGTGGACATTTGGAGCGCTTTGATGCCTTTGGTGAAAAGGAAACGTCTTCCAATAAAAGCCAGACAGAAAGCATTCTCAGTAAACTTGTTTGTGATGTGTGTACTCAACTAAAAGAGTTGAACCTTTCTATTGATAGAGCAGTTTTGAAACACTCTTTTTGTGGATTCTGCAAGTGGATATTTGGATTGCTTTGAGGATTTCGTTGGAAGCGGGAATTCATATAAAAACTAGACAGCAGCATTCCCAGAAATTTCTTTCGGATATTTCCATTCAACTCATAGAGATGAATATGGCCTTTCATAGAGCAGGTTTGAAACACTCTTTTTGTAGTTTGTGGAAGTGGACATTTCGATCGCCTTGACGCCTACGGTGAAAAAGGAAATATCTACCCATAAAAAATAGACAGAAGCATTCTCAGAAACTTGTTGGTGATATGTGTCCTCAACTAACAGAGTTGAACTTTGCCATTGATAGAGAGCAGTTTTGAAACACTCTTTTTGTGGAATCTGCAAGTGGATATTTGGATAGCTTGGAGGATTTCGTTGGAAGCGGGAATTCAAATAAAAGGTAGACAGCAGCATTCTCAGAAATTTCTTTCTGATGTCTGCATTCAACTCATAGAGTTGAAGATTCCCTTTCATAGAGCAGGTTTGAAACACTCTTTCTGGAGTATCTGGATGTGGACATTTGGAGCGCTTTGATGCCTACGGTGAAAAAGTAAATATCTTCCCATAAAAACGACACAGAAGGATTCTGAGAAACAAGTTTGTGATGTGTGTACTCAGCTAACAGAGTGGAACCTCTCTTTTGATGCAGCAGTTTGGAAACCCTCTTTTTGTAGAAACTGTAAGTGGATATTTGGATAGCTCTAATGATTTCGTTGGAAACGGGAATATCATCATCTAAAATCTAGACAGAAGCACTCTCAGAAACTACTTTGTGATATCTGCATTCAAGTCACAGAGTTGAACATTCGCTTTCTTAGAGCACTTTTGAAACACTCTTTTTGTATATCTGGAAGAGGACATTTGGAGCTCTTTGATGCCTTTGGTGAAAAAGGAAATGTCTTCCCATAAAAACTAGACAGAAGCATTCTCAGAAAGTTGATTGTGATGTGTGCACCCAGCTAAAGGAGTTGAACATTTATTGATAGAGCAGTTTTGAAGCACTCTTTTTGTGGAAAATGCAAGTGGATATTTGGATAGCTTGGAGGATTTCGTTGGAAGCGGGAGTTCAAATAAAAGGTAGACAGCAGCATTCTCAGAAATTACTTTCTGATGTCTGCATTCAACTCATAGAGTTGAAGATTCCCTTTCATAGAGCAGGTTTGAAACACTCTTTCTGTAGTATCTGGATGTGGACATTTGGAGCGCTTTGATACCTACGGTGAAAAAGGAAATATCTTCCCATAAAAACTAGACAGAAGGATTCTCAGAAACAAGTTTGTGATGTGTGTACTCAGCTAACAGATTGGAACCTTTCTTTTTACAGAGCAGCTTTGAAACTCTATTTTTGTGGATTCTGCAAATTGATATTTAGATTGCTTTAACGATATCGTTGGAAAAGGGAATATGGTCATACAAAATCTAGACAGAAGCATTCTCACAAACTTCTTTGTGATGTGTGTCCTCAACTAACAGAGTTGAACCTTTCTTTTGATGCAGCAGTTTGGAAACACTCTTTTTGTAGAAACTGTAAGTGGATATTTGGATACTTCTAACGATTTCGTTGGAAACGGGAATATCATCATCTAAAATCTAGACAGAAGCACTATTAGAAACTACTTGGTGATATCTGTATTCAAGTCACAGAGTTGAACATTCCCTTACTTTGAGCACGTTTGAAACACTCTTTTGGAAGAATCTGGAAGTGGACATTTGGAGCGCTTTGATGCCTTTGGTGAAAAGGAAACGTCTTCCAATAAAAGCCAGACAGAAGCATTCTCAGAAACTTGTTTGTGATGTGTGTACTCAACTAAAAGAGTTGAACCTTTCTATTGATAGAGCAGTTTTGAAACACTCTTTTTGTGGATTCTGCAAGTGGATATTTGGATTGCTTTGAGGATTTCATTGGAAGCGGGAATTCGTATAAAAACTAGACAGCAGCATTCCCAGAAATTTCTTTCGGATATTTCCATTCAACTCATTGAGATGAACATCGCCTTTCATAGAGCAGGTTTGAAACACTCTTTTTGTAGTTTGTGGAAGTGGACATTTCGATCGCCGTGACGCCTACAGTGAAAAAGGAAATATCTTCCCATAAACAATAGACAGAAGCATTCTCAGAAACTTGTTGGTGATATGTGTCCTCAACTAACAGAGTTGAACTTTGCCATTGATAGAGAGCAGTTTTGAAACACTCTTTTTGTGGAATCTGCAAGTGGATATTTGGATAGCTTGGAGGATTTCGTTGGAAGCGGGAATTCAAATAAAAGGTAGACAGCAGCATTCTCAGAAATTTCTTTCTGATGTCTGCATTCAACTCATAGAGTTGAAGATTCCCTTTCATAGAGCAGGTTTGAAACACTGTTTCTGGAGTATCTGGATGTGGACATTTGGAGCGCTTTGATGCCTACGGTGAGAAAGTAAATATCTTCCCATAAAAACGAGACAGAAGGATTCTGAGAAACAAGTTTGTGATGTGTGTACTCAGCTAACAGAGTGGAACCTCTCTTTTGATGCAGCAGTTTGGAAACACTCTTTTTGTAGAAACTGTAAGTGGATATTTGGATAGCTCTAATGATTTCGTTGGAAACGCGAATATCATCATCTAAAATCTAGACAGAAGCACTCTCAGAAACTACTTTTTGATATCTGCACTCAAGTCACAGAGTTGAACATTCGCTTTCTTAGAGCACTTTTGAAACACTCTTTTTGTAGTATCTGGAAGTGGACATTTGGAGCTCTTTGATGCCTTTGGTGAGAAAGGAAATGTCTTCCCATAAAAACTAGACAGAAGCATTCTCAGAAAGTTGTTTGTGATGTGTGTACCCAGCTAAAGGAGTTGAACATTTCTATTGATAGAGTAGTTTTGAAACACTCTTTTTGTGGAAAATGCAAGTGGATATTTGGATAGCTTGGAGGATTTCGTTGGAAGCGGGAATTCAAATAAAAGGTAGACAGCAGCAGCATTCTCAGAAATTTCTTTCTGATGTCTGCATTCAACTCATAGGGTTGAAGATTCCCTTTCATAGAGCAGGTTTGAAACACTCTTTCTGGAGTATCTGGATGTGGACATTTGGAGCGCTTTGATGCCTACGGTGAAAAAGTAAATATCTTCCCATAAAAACGAGACAGAAGGATTCTCAGAAACAAGTTTGTGATGTGTGTACTCAGCTAACAGAGTGGAACTTTTATTTTTACAGAGCAGCTTTGAAACTCTATTTTTGTGGATTCTGCAAATTGATATTTAGATTGCTTTAACGATATCGTTGGAAAAGGGAATATCGTCATACAAAATCTAGACAGAAGCATTCTCACAAACTTCTTTGTGATGTGTGTCCTCAACTAACAGAGTTGAACCTTTCTTTTGATGCAGCAATTTGGAAACACCCTTTTGGTAGAAACTGTAACTGGATATTTGCTTAGCTCTAACGATTTCGTTGGAAACGGGAATATCATCATCTGAAATCTAGACGGAAGCACTATTAGAAACTACTTGGTGATATCTGCATTCAAGTCACAGAGTTGAACATTACCTTACTTTGAGCACGTTTGAAACACTCTTTTGGAAGAATCTGGAAGTGGACATTTGGAGCGCTTTGATGCCTTTGGTGAAAAGGAAACGTCTTCCAATAAAAGCCAGACAGAAGCATTCTCAGAAACTTGTTCGTGATGTGTGTACTCAACTAAAAGAGTTGAACCTTTCTATTGATAGAGCAGTTTTGAAACACTCTTTTTGTGGATTCTGCAAGTGGATATTTGGATTGCTTTGAGGATTTCGTTGGAAGCGGGAATTCGTATAAACACTAGACAGCAGCATTCCCAGAAATTTCTTTCGGATATTTCCATTCAACTCATAGAGATGAACATGGCCTTTCATAGAGCAGGTTTGAAACACTCTTTTTGTAGTTTGTGGAAGTGGACATTTCGATAGCCTTGACGCCTACGGTGAAAAAGGAAATATCTTCCCATAAACAATAGACAGAAGCATTCTCAGAAACTTGTTGGTGATATGTGTCCTCAACTAACAGAGTTGAACTTTGCCATTGATAGAGAGCAGTTTTGAAACACTCTTTTTGTGGAATCTGCAAGTGGATATTTGGATAGCTTGGAGGATTTCGTTGGAAGCGGGAATTCAAATAAAAGGTAGACAGCAGCATTCTCAGAAATTTCTTTCTGATGTCTGCATTCAACTCATAGAGTTGAAGATTCCCTTTCATAGAGCAGGTTTGAAACACTCTTTCTGTAGTATCTGGATGTGGACATTTGGAGCGCTTTGATACATACGGTGAAAAAGGAAATATCTTCCCGTAAAAACTAGACAGAAGGATTCTCAGAAACAAGTTTGTGATGTGTGTACTCAGCTAATAGAGTGGATCCTTTCTTTTTACAGAGCAGCTTTGAAACTCTATTTCTGTGGATTCTGCAAATTGATATTTGGGTTGATTTAACGACATCGTTGGAAAAGGGAATATCTTCATACAAAATCTAGACAGAAGCATTCTCACAAACTTCTTTGTGATGTGTGTCCTCAACTAACAGAGTTGAACCTTTCTTTTGATGCAGCAGTTTGGAAACACCCTTTTGGTAGAAACTGTAAGTGGATATTTGGATAGCTCTAACGATTTCGTTGGAAACGGGAATATCATCATCTAAAATGCTAGACAGAAGCACTATTAGAAACTACTTGGTGATATCTGCATTCAAGTCACAGAGTTGAACATTCCCTTACTTTGAGCACGTTTGAAACACTCTTTTGGAAGAATCTGGAAGTGGACATTTGGAGCGCTTTGATGCCTTTGGTGAAAAGGAAACGTCTTCCAATAAAAGCCAGACAGAAGCATTCTCAGAAACTTGTTTGAGATGTGTGTACTCAACTAAAAGAGTTGAACCTTTCTATTGATAGAGCAGTTTTGAAACACTCTTTTTGTGGATTCTGCAAGTGGATATTTGGATTGCTTTGAGGATTTCGTTGGAAGCGGGAATTCGTATAACAACTAGACAGCAGCATTCCCAGAAATTTCTTTCGGATATTTCCATTCAACTCATAGAGATGAACATGGCCTTTCATAGAGCAGGTTTGAAACACTCTTTTTGTAGTTTGTGGAAGTGGACATTTCGATCGCCTTGACGCCTACGGTGAAAAAGGAAATATCTTCCCATAAAAAATAGACAGAAGCATTCTCAGAAACTTGTTGGTGATATGTGTCCTCAACTAACAGAGTTGAACTTTGCCATTGATAGAGAGCAGTTTTGAAACACTCTTTTTGTGGAATCTGCAAGTGGATATTTGGATAGTTTGGAGGATTTCGTTGGAAGCGGGAATTCAAATAAAAGGTAGACAGCAGCATTCTCAGAAATTTCTTTCTGATCTCTGCATTCAACTCATAGAGTTGAACATTCCCTTTCATAGGGCAGGTTTGAAATACTCTTTCTGTAGTATCTGGATGTGGACATTTGGAGCGCTTTGATGCCTACGGTGAAAAAGTAAATATCTTCCCATAAAAACGAGACAGAAGGATTCTGAGAAACAAGTTTGTGATGTGTGTACTCAGCTAACAGAGTGGAACCTCTGTTTTGATGCAGCAGTTTGGAAACACTCTTTTTGTAGAAACTGTAAGTGGATATTTGGATAGCTCTAATGATTTCGTTGGAAACGGGAATATCATCATCTAAAATCTAGACAGAAGCCCTCTCAGAAACTACTTTGTGATATCTGCATTCAAGTCACAGAGTTGAACATTCGCTTTCTTAGAGCACGTTGGAAACACTCTTTTTGTAGTGTCTGGAAGTGGACACTTGGAGCGCTTTGATGCCTTTGGTGAAAAAGGGAACGTCTTCCCATAAAAACTAGACAGAAGCATTCTCAGAAACTTGTTTGTGATGTGTGTACACAGCCAAAGGAGTTGAACATTTCTATTGATAGAGCAGTTTTGAAACACTCTTGTTGTGGAAAATGCAGGTGGATATTTGGATAGCTTGGAGGATTTCGTTGGAAGCGGGAATTCAAATAAAAGGTAGACAGCAGGATTCTGAGAGACAAGTTTGTGATGTGTGTACTCAGCTAACAGAGTGGAACCTTTCTTTTTACAGAGCAGCTTTGAAACTCTATTTTTGTGGATTCTGCAAATGGATATTTAGATTGCTTTAACGATATCGTTGGAAAAGGGAATATGGTCATACAAAATCTGGACAGAAGAATTCTCACAAACTTCTTTGTGATGTGTGTCCTCAACTAACAGAGTTGAACCTTTCTTTTGATGCAGCAGTTTGGAAACACCCTTTTGGTAGAAACTGTAAGTGGATATTTGGATAGCTCTAACGATTTCGTTGGAAACGGGAATATCATCATCTAAAATCTAGACAGAAGCACTATTAGAAACTTCTTGGTGATATCTGCATTCAAGTCACAGAGTTGAACATTCCCTTACTTCGAGCACGTTTGAAACACTCTTTTGGAAGAATCTGGAAGTGGACATTTGGAGCGCTTTGATGCCTTTGGTGAAAAGGAAACGTCTTCCAATAAAAGCCAGACAGAAGCATTACCAGAAATTTCTTTCGGATATTTCCATTCAACTCATAGAGAAGAACATGGCCTTTCATAGAGCAGGTTTGAAACACTCTTTTTGTAGTTTGTGGAAGTGGACATTTCGATCGCCTTGACGCCTACGGTGAAAAAGGAAATATCTTCCCATAAAAAATAGACAGAAGCATTCTCAGAAACTTGTTGGTGATATGTGTCCTCAACTAACAGAGTTGAACTTTGCCATTGATAGAGAGCAGTTTTGAAACACTCTTTTTGTGGAATCTGCAAGTGGATATTTGGATAGCTTGGAGGATTTCGTTGGAAGCGGGAATTCAAATAAAAGGTAGACAGCAGCATTCTCAGAAATTTCTTTCTGATGTCTGCATTCAACTCATAGAGTTGAAGATTCCCTTTCATAGAGCAGGTTTGAAACACTCTTTCTGGAGTATCTGGATGTGGACATTTGGAGCGCTTTGATGCCTACGGTGAAAAGTAAATATCTTCCCATAAAAACGAGACAGAGTATTCTCAGAAACAAGTTTGTGATGTGTGTACTCAGCTAACAGAGTGGATCCTTTCTTTTTACAGAGCAGCTTTGAAACTCTATTTCTGTGGATTCTGCAAATTGATATTTGGGTTGATTTAACGATATCGTTGGAAAAGGGAATATCTTCATACAAAATCTAGACAGAAGCATTCTCACAAACTTCTTTGTGACGTGTGTCCTCAACTAACAGAGTTGAACCTTTCTTTTGATGCAGCAGTTTGGAAACACTGTTTTTGTAGCAACTGTAAGTGGATATTTGGATAGATCTAACGATTTCGTTGGAAACGGGAATATCATCATCTAAAATCTAGACAGAAGCACTATTAGAAACTACTTGGTGATATCTGCATTCAAGTCACAGAGTAGAACATTCCCTTACTTCGACCACGTTTGAAACACTCTTTTGGAAGAATCTGGAAGTGGACATTTGGAGCACTTTGATGCCTTTGGTGAAAAGGAAACGTCTTCCAATAAAAGCCAGACAGAAGCATTCTCAGAAACTTGTTTGTGATGTGTGTACTCAACTAAAAGAGTTGAACCTTTCTATTGATAGAGCGGTTTTGAAACACTCTTTTTGTGGATTCTGCAAGTGGATATTTGGATTGCTTTGAGGATTTCGTTGGAAGCGGGAATTCATATAAAAACTAGACAGCAGCATTCCCAGAAATTTCTTTCGGATATTTCCATTCAACTCATTGAGATGAACATCGCCTTTCATAGAGCAGGTTTGAAACACTCTTTTTGTAGTTTGTGGAAGTGGACATTTCGATCTCCTTGACGCCTACAGTGAAAAAGGAAATATCTTCCCATAAAAAATAGACAGAAGCATTCTCAGAAACTTGTTTGTGATGTGTGCACCCAGCTAAAGGAGTTGAACATTTCTATTGATAGAGCAGTTTTGAAGCACTCTTTTTGTGGAAAATGCAAGTGGATATTTCGATAGCTTGGAGGATTTCGTTGGAAGCGGGAGTTCAAATAAAAGGTAGACAGCAGCATTCTCAGAAATTTCTTTCTGATGTCTGCATTCAACTCATAGAGTTGAAGATTCCCTTTCATAGAGCAGGTTTGAAACACTCTTTCTGGAGTATCTGGATGTGGACATTTGGAGCGCTTTGATGCCTACGGTGAAAAAGTAAATATCTTCCCAGAAAAACGAGACAGAAAGGATTCTCAGAAACAAGTTTGTGATGTGTGTACTCAGCTAACAGAGTGGAACCTTTCTTTTGACAGAGCAGCTTTGAAACTCTATTTTTGTGGATTCTGCAAATGGATATTTAGATTGCTTTAACGATATCGTTGGAAAAGGGAATATCGTCATACAAAATCTGGACAGAAGCTTTCTCAGAAACTTCTCTGTGATGTGTGTCCTCAACTCACAGAGTTGAACCTTTCTTTAGATGCAGCAGTTTGGAAACACTTTTTTTGTAGAAACTGTAAGTGGATATTTGGGTAGGTCTAACGATATCATTGGAAACGGGAATACCTTCATCTAAAGTATACACAGAAGCACTATTAGAAACTACTTGGTGATATCTGCATTCAAGTCACAGAGTTGAACATTCCCTTACTTTGAGCACGTTTGAAACACTCTTTTGGAAGAATCTGGAAGTGGACATTTGGAGCGCTTTGATGTCTTTGGTGAAAAGGAAACGTCTTCCAATAAAAGCCAGACAGAAGCATTCTCAGAAACTTGTTTGTGATGTGTGTACTCAACTAAAAGAGTTGAACCTTTCTATTGATAGAGCAGTTTTGAAACACTCTTTTTGTGGATTCTGCAAGTGGATATTTGGATTGCTTTGAGGATTTCGTTGGAAGCGGGAATTCGGTATAAAAACTAGACAGCAGCATTCCCAGAAATTTCTTTCGGATATTTCCATTCGACTCATAGAGATGAACATGGCCTTTCATAGAGCAGGTTTGAAACACTCTTTTTGTAGTTTGTGGAAGTGGACATTTCGATCGCCTTGACACCTACGGTGAAAAAGGAAATATCTTCCCATAAAAAATAGACAGAAGCATTCTCAGAAACTTGTTGGTGATATGTGTCCTCAACTAACAGAGTTGAACTTTGCCATTGATAGAGAGCAGTTTTGAAACACTCTTTTTGTGGAATCTGCAAGTGGATATTTGGATAGCTTGGAGGATTTCGTTGGAAGCGGGAATTCAAATAAAAGGTAGACAGCAGCATTCTCAGAAATTTCTTTCTGATGTCTGCATTCAACTCATAGAGTTGAACATTCCCTTTCATAGAGCAGGTTTGAAACACTCTTTCTGGAGTATCTGGATGTGGACATTTGGAGCACTTTGATGCCTACGGTGAAAAAGTAAATATCTTCCCATAAAAACGAGACAGAAGGATTCTCAGAAACAAGTTTGTGATGTGTGTACTCAGCTAACAGAGTGGAACCTTTCTTTTTACAGAGCAGCTTTGAAACTCTATTGTTGTGGATTCTGCAAATTGATATTTAGATTGCTTTAACGATATCATTGGAAAAGGGAATATCGTCATACAAAATCTAGACAGAAGCATTCTCACAAACTTCTTTGTGATGTGTGTCCTCAACTAACAGAGTTGAACTTTTCTTTTGATGCAGCAGTTTGGAAACACTGTTTTTGTAGAAACTGTAAGTGGATATTTGGATAGCTCTAACGATTTCATTGGAAACGGGAATATCATCATCTAAAATCTAGACAGAAACACTATTAGAAACTACTTGGTGATATCTGCATTCAAGTCACAGAGTTGAACATTCCCTTACTTTGAGCACGTTTCAAACACTCTTTTGGAAGAATCTGGAAGTGGACATTTGGAGCGCTTTGATGCCTTTGGTGAAAAGGAAACGTCTTCCAATAAAAGCCAGACAGAAGCATTCTCAGAAACTTGTTTGTGATGTGTGTACTCAACTAAAAGAGGTGAACCTTTCTATTGATAGAGCAGTTTTGAAACACTCTTTTTGTGGATTCTGCAAGTGGATATTTGGATTGCTTTGAGGATTTCGTTGGAAGCGGGAATTCATATAAAAACTAGACAGCAGCATTCCCAGAAATTTCTTTCGGATATTTCCATTCAACTCATAGAGGTGAACATGGCCTTTCATAGAGCAGGTTTGAAACACTCTTTTTGTAGTTTGTGGAAGTGGACATTTCGATCGCCTTGACGCCTACGCTGAAAAAGGAAATATCTTCCCATAAAAAATAGACAGAAGCATTCTCAGAAACTTGTTGGTGATATGTGTCCTCAACTAACAGAGTTGAACTTTGCCATTGATAGAGAGCAGTTTTGAAACACTCTTTTTGTGGAATCTGCAAGTGGATATTTGGATAGCTTGGAGGATTTCGTTGGAAGCGGGAATTCAAATAAAAGGTAGACAGCAGGATTCTGAGAAACAAGTTTGTGATGTGTGTACTCAGCTAACAGAGTGGAACCTTTCTTTTTACAGAGCAGCTTTGAAACTCTATTTTTGTGGATTCTGCAAATGGATATTTAGATTGCTTTAATGATATCGTTGGAAAAGGGAATATCGTCATACAAAATCTGGACAGAAGCATTCTCACAAACTTCTTTGTGATGTGTGTCCTCAACTAACAGAGTTGAACCTTTCTTTTGATGCAGCAGTTTGCAAACACCCTTTTGGTAGAAACTGTAACTGTATATTTGGATAGCTCTAACGATTTCGTTGGAAACGGGAATATCATCATCTAAAATCTAGACAGAAGCACTATTAGAAACTACTTGGTGATATCTGCATTCAAGTCACAGAGTTGAACATTCCCTTACTTTGAGTACGTTTCAAACACTCTTTTGGAAGAATCTGGAAGTGGACATTTGGAGCGCTTTGATGCCTTTGGTGAAAAGGAAACGTCTTCCAATAAAAGCCAGACAGAAGCATTCTCAGAAACTTTTTTGTGATGTGTGTACTCAACTAAAAGAGTTGAACCTTTCTATTGATAGAGCAGTTTTGAAACACTCTTTTTGTGGATTCTGCAAGTGGATATTTGGATTGCTTTGAGGATTTCGTTGGAAGCGGGAATTCATATAAACACTAGACAGCAGCATTCCCAGAAATTTCTTTCGGATATTTCCATTCGACTCATAGAGATGAACATGGCCTTTCATAGAGCAGGTTTGAAACACTCTTTTTGTAGTTTGTGGAAGTGGACATTTCGATCGCCTTGACGCCTACGGTGAAAAAGGAAATATCTTCCCATAAAAAATAGACAGAAGCATTCTCAGAAACTTGTTGGTGATATGTGTCCTCAACTAACAGAGTTGAACTTTGCCATTGATAGAGAGCAGTTTTGAAACACTCTTTTTGTGGAATCTGCAAGTGGATATTTGGATAGCTTGGAGGATTTCGTTGGAAGCGGGAATTCAAATAAAAGGTAGACAGCAGCATTCTCAGAAATTTCTTTCTGATGTCTGCATTCAACCTCATAGAGTTGAAGATTCCCTTTCATAGAGCAGGTTTGAAACACTCTTTCTGGAGTATCTGGATGTGGACATTTGGAGCGCTTTGATGCCTACGGTGAAAAAGTAAATATCTTCCCATAAAAACGACACAGAAGGATTCTCAGAAACAAGTTTGTGATGTGTGTACTCAGCTAACAGAGTGGAACCTCTCTTTTGATGCAGCAGTTTGGAAACACTCTTTTTGTAGAAACTGTAAGTGGATATTTGGATAGCTCTAATGATTTCGTTGGAAACGGGAATATCATCATCTAAAATCTAGACAGAAGCACTCTCAGAAACTACTTTTTGATATCTGCATTCAAGTCACAGAGTTGAACATGCGCTTTCTGAGAGCACTTTTGAAACACTCTTTTTGTAGTATCTGGAAGTGGACATTTGGAGCTCTTTGATGCCTTTGGTGAAAAAGGAAATGTCTTCCCATAAAAACTAGACAGAAGCATTCTCAGAAACTTGTTTGTGATGTGTGTACCCAGCCAAAGGAGTTGAACATTTCTATTGATAGAGCAGTTTTGAAACACTCTTGTTGTGGAAAATGCAGGTGGATATTTGGATAGCTTGGAGGATTTCGTTGCAAGCGGGAATTCAAATAAAAGGTAGACAGCCAGCATTCTCAGAAATTTCTTTCTGATGTCTGCATTCAACTCATAGAGTTGAAGATTCCCTTTCATAGAGCAGGTTTGAAACACTCGTTCTGGAGTATCTGGATGTGGACATTTGGAGCGCTTTGATGCCTACGGTGGAAAAGTAAATATCTTCCCATAAAAACGAGACAGAGGATTCTCAGAAACAAGTTTGTGATGTGTGTACTCAGCTAACAGAGTGGAACCTTTCTTTTTACAGAGCAGCTTTGAAACTCTATTTTTGTGGATTCTGCAAATTGATATTTAGATTGCTTTAACGATATCATTGGAAAAGGGAATATCGTCATACAAAATCTGGACAGAAGCATTCTCACAAACTTCTTTGTGATGTGTGTCCTCAACTAACAGAGTTGAACCTTTCTTTTGATGCAGCAATTTGGAAACACCCTTTTGGTAGAAACTGTAACTGGATATTTGGATAGCTCTAACGATTTCGTTGGAAACGGGAATATAATCATCTAAAATGTAGACAGAAGCACTATTAGAAACTACTTGGTGATATCTGCATTCAAGTCACAGAGTTGAACATTCCCTTACTTTGAGCACGTTTGAAACACTCTTTTGGAAGAATCTGGAAGTGGACATTTGGAGCGCTTTGATGCCTTTGGTGAAAAGGAAACGTCTTCCAATAAAAGCCAGAGAGAAGCATTCTCAGAAACTTGTTCGTGATGTGTGTACTCAACTAAAAGGGTTGAACCTTTCTATTGATAGAGCAGTTTTGAAACACTCTTTTTGTGGATTCTGCAAGTGGATATTTGGATTGCTTTGAGGATTTCGTTGGAAGCGGGAATTCGTATAAACACTAGACAGCAGCATTCCCAGAAATTTCTTTCGGATATTTCCATTCAACTCATAGAGATGAACATGGCCTTTCATAGAGCAGGTTTGAAACACTCTTTTTGTAGTTTGTGGAAGTGGACATTTCGATCGCCTTGACGCCTACGCTGAAAAAGGAAATATCTTCCCATAAAAAATAGACAGAAGCATTCTCAGAAACTTGTTGGTGATATGTGTCCTCAACTAACAGAGTTGAACTTTGCCATTGATAGAGAGCAGTTTTGAAACACTCTTTTTGTGGAATCTGCAAGTGGATATTTGGATAGCTTGGAGGATTTCGTTGGAAGCGGGAATTCAAATAAAAGGTAGACAGCAGGATTCTGAGAAACAAGTTTGTGATGTTTGTACTCAGCTAACAGATTGGAACCTCTCCTTTGATGCAGCAGTTTGGAAACACTCTTTTTGTAGAAACTGTAAGTGGATATTTGGATAGCTCTAATGATTTCGTTGGAAACGGGAATATCATCATCTAAAATCTAGACAGAAGCACTCTCAGAAACTACTTTGTGATATCTGCATTCAAGTCACAGAGTTGAACATTCGCTTTCTTAGAGCGCGTTTGAAACACTCTTTTTGTAGTGTCTGGAAGTGGACATTTGGAGCGCTTTGATGCCTTTGGTGAAAAAGGGAATGTCTTCCCATAAAAACTAGACAGAAGCATTCTCAGAAACTTGTTTGTGATGTGTGTACCCAGCCAAAGCAGTTGAACATTTCTATTGATAGAGCAGTTTTGAAACACTCTTGTTGTGGAAAATGCAGGTGGATATTTGGATAGCTTGGAGGATTTCGTTGGAAGCGGGAATTCAAATAAAAGGTAGACAGCAGCATTCTCAGAAATTTCTTTCTGATGTCTGCATTCAACTCATAGAGTTGAGGATTCCCTTTCATAGAGGAGGTTTGAAACACTCGTTCTGGAGTATCTGGATGTGGACATTTGGAGCGCTTTGATGCCTACGGTGGAAAAGTAAATATCTTCCCATAAAAACGAGACAGAAGGATTCTCAGAAACAAGTTTGTGATGTGTGTACTCAGCTAACAGAGTGGAACCTTTGTTTTTACAGAGCAGCTTTGAAACTCTAGTTTTGTGGATTCTGCAAATTGATATTTAGATTGCTTTAACGATATCGTTGGAAAAGGGAATATCGTCATACAAAATCTAGACAGAAGCATTCTCACAAACTTCTTTGTGATGTGTGTCCTCAACTAACAGAGTTGAACCTTTCTTTTGATGCAGCAGTTTGGAAACACTCTTTTTGTAGAAACTGTAAGTGGATATTTGGATAGCTCTAAAGATTTCGTTGGAAACGGGAATATCATCATCTAAAATCTAGACAGAAGCACTATTAGAAACTACTTGGTGATATCTGCATTCAAGTCACAGAGTTGAACATTCCCTTACTTTGAGCACGTTTGAAACACTCTTTTGGAAGAATCTGGAAGTGGACATTTGGAGCGCTTTGATGCCTTTGGTGAAAAGGAAACGTCTTCCAATAAAAGCCAGACAGAAGCATTCTCAGAAACTTGTTTGTGATGTGTGTACTCAACTAAAAGAGTTGAACCTTTCTATTGATAGAGCAGTTTTGAAACACTCTTTTTGTGGATTCTGCAAGTGGATATTTGGATTGCTTTGAGGATTTTGTTGTAAGCGGGAATTCGTATAAAAACTAGACAGCAGCATTCCCAGAAATTTCTTTCGGATATTTCCATTCAACTCATAGAGATGAACATGGCCTTTCATAGAGCAGGTTTGAAACACTCTTTTTGTAGTTTGTGGAAGTGGACATTTCGATCGCCTTGACGCCTACGGTGAAAAAGGAAATATCTTCCCATAAAAAATAGACAGAAACATTCTCAGAAACTTGTTGGTGATATGTGTCCTCAACTAACAGAGTTGAACTTTGCCATTGATAGAGAGCAGTTTTGAAACACTCTTTTTGTGGAATCTGCAAGTGGATATTTGGATAGCTTGGAGGATTTCGTTGGAAGCGGGAATTCAAATAAAAAGTAGACAGCAGCATTCTCAGAAATTTTTTTCTGATGTCTGCATTCAACTCATAGAGTTGAAGATTCCCTTTCATAGAGCAGGTTTGAAACACTCTTTCTGGAGTATCTGGATGTGGACATTTGGAGCGCTTTGATGCCTACGGTGAAAAAGTAAATATCTTCCCATAAAAACGAGACAGAAGGATTCTGAGAAACAAGTTTGTGATGTGTATACTCAGCTAACAGAGTGGAACCTCTCTTTTGATGCAGCAGTTTGGAAACACTCTTTTTGTAGAAACTGTAAGTGGATATTTGGAAGCTCTAATGATTTTGTTGGAAACGGGAATATCATCATCTAAAATCTAGACAGAAGCACTCTCAGAAACTACTTTGTGATATCTGCATTCAAGTCACAGAGTTGAATATTCGCTTTCTTAGAGCACGTTGGAAACACTCTTTTTGTAGTGTCTGGAAGTGGACATTTGGAGCGCTTTGATGCCTTTGGTGAAAAAGGGAATGTCTTCCCATAAAAACTAGACACAAGCATTCTCAGAAACTTGTTTGTGATGTGTGTACCCAACTAAAGGAGTTGAACATTTCTATTGATAGAGCAGTTTTGAAACACTCTTTTTGTGGAAAATGCAAGTGGATATTTGGATAGCTTGGAGGATTTCGTTGGAAGCGGGAATTCAAATAAAAGGTAGACAGCAGGATTCTGAGAAACAAGTTTGCGATGTGTGTACTCAGCTAACAGAGTGGAACCTTTCTTTTTACAGAGCAGCTTTGAAACTCTATTTTTGTGGATTCTGCAAATGGATATTTAGATTGCTTTAACGATATCGTTGGAAAAGGGAATATCGTCATACAAAATCTAGACAGAAGCATTCTCACAAACTTCTTTGTGATGTGTGTCCTCAACTAACAGAGTTGAACCTTTCTTTTGATGCAGCAGTTTGGAAACACTGTTTTTGTAGCAACTGTAAGTGGATATTTGGATAGCTCTAACGATTTCGTTGGAAACGGGAATATCATCATCTAAAATCTAGACAGAAGCACTATTAGAAACTACTTGGTGATATCTGCATTCAAGTCACAGAGTTGAACATTCCCTTACTATGAGCACGTTTGAAACACTCTTTTGGTAGAATCTGGAAGTGGACATTTGGAGCGCTTTGATGCCTTTGGTGAAAAGGAAACGTCTTCCAATAAAAGCCAGACAGAAGCATTAACAGAAACTTGTTTGTGATGTGTGTACTCAACTAAAAGAGTTGAACCTTTCTATTGATAGAGCAGTTTTGAAACACTCTTTTTGTGGATTCTGCAAGTGGATATTTGGATTGCTTTGAGGATTTCGTTGGAAGCAGGAATTCGTATAAAAACTAGACAGCAGCATTCCCAGAAATTTCTTTCGGATATTTCCATTCGACTCATAGAGATGAACATGGCCTTTCATAGAGCAGGTTTGAAACACTCTTTTTGTAGTTTGTGGAAGTGGACATTTCGATCGCCTTGACGCCTACGGTGAAAAAGGAAATATCTTCCCATAAAAAATAGACAGAAGCATTCTCAGAAACTTGTTGGTGATATGTGTCCTCAACTAACAGAGTTGAACTTTGCCATTGATAGAGAGCAGTTTTGAAACACTCTTTTTGTGGAATCTGCAAGTGGATATTTGGATAGCTTGGAGGATTTCGTTGGAAGCGGGAATTCAAATAAAAGGTAGACAGCAGCATTCTCAGAAATTTCTTTCTGATGTCTGCATTCAACTCATAGTGTTGAAGATTCCCTTTCATAGAGCAGGTTTGAAACACTCTTTCTGGAGTATCTGGATGTGGACATTTGGAGCGGTTTGATGCCTACGGTGAAAAAGTAAATATCTTCCCATAAAAACGAGACAGAAGGATTCTGAGAAACAAGTTTGTGATGTGTGTACTCAGCTAACAGAGTGGAACCTCTCTTTTGATGCAGCAGTTTGGAAACACTCTTTTTGTAGAAACTGTAAGTGGATATTTGGATAGCTCTAATGATTTCGGTTGGAAACGGGAATATCATCATCTAAAATCTAGACAGAAGCCCTCTCAGAAACTACTTTGTGATATCTGCATTCAAGTCACAGAGTTGAACATTCGCTTTCTTAGAGCACGTTTGAAACACTCTTTTTGTAGTGTCTGGAAGTGGACATTTGGAGCGCTTTGATGCCTTTGGTGAAAAAGGGAATGTCTACCCATAAAAACTAGACAGAAGCATTCTCACAAACTTGTTTGTGATGTGTGTACCCAGCCAAAGGAGTTGAACATTTCTATTGATAGAGCAGTTTTGAAACACTCTTGTTGTGGAAAATGCAGGTGGATATTTGGATAGCTTGGAGGATTTCGTTGGAAGCGGGAATTCAAATAAAAGGTAGACAGCAGCATTCTCAGAAATTTCTTTCTGATGTCTGCATTCAACTCATAGAGTTGAAGATTCCCTTTCATAGAGCAGGTTTGAAACACTGTTTCTGGAGTATCTGGATGTGGACATTTGGAGGGCTTTGATGCCTACGGTGAAAAAGTAAATATCTTCCCATAAAAACGAGACAGAAGGATTCTCAGAAACAAGTTTGTGATGTGTGTACTCAGCTAACAGAGTGGAACCTTTCTTTTTACAGAGCAGCTTTGAAACTCTATTTTTGTGGATTCTGCAAATTGATATTGAGATTGCTTTAACGATATCGTTGGAAAAGGGAATATCGTCATACAAAATCTAGACAGAAGCATTCTCACAAACTTCTTTGTGATGTGTGTCCTCAACTAACAGAGTTGAACCTTTCTTTTAATGCAGCAGTTTGGAAACACCCTTTTGGTAGAAACTGTAAGTGGATATTTTGATAGCTCTAACGATTTCGTTGGAAACGGGAATATCATCATCTAAAATCTAGACAGAAGCACTATTAGAAACTACTTGGTGATATCTGCATTCAAGTCACAGAGTTGAACATTCCCTTACTTTGAGCACGTTTGAAACACTCTTTTGGAAGAATCTGGAAGTGGACATTTGGAGCGCTTTGATGCCTTTGGTGAAAAGGAAACGTCTTCCAATAAAAGCCAGACAGAAGCATTCTCAGAAACTTGTTCGTGATGTGTGTACTCAACTAAAAGAGTTGAACCTTTCTATTGATAGAGCAGTTTTGAAACACTCTTTTTGTGGATTCTGCAAGTGGATATTTGGATTGCTTTGAGGATTTCGTTGGAAGCGGGAATTTGGTATAAACACTAGACAGCAGCATTCCCAGAAATTTCTTTCGGATATTTCCATTCAACTCATAGAGATGAACATGGCCTTTCATAGAGCAGGTTTGAAACACTCTTTTTGTAGTTTGTGGAAGTGGACATTTCGATCGCCTTGACGCCTACGGTGAAAAAGGAAATATCTTCCCATAAAAAATAGACAGAAGCATTCTCAGAAACTTGTTGGTGATATGTGTCCTCAACTAACAGAGTTGAACTTTGCCATTGATAGAGAGCAGTTTTGAAACACTCTTTTTGTGGAATCTGCAAGTGGATATTTGGATAGCTTGGAGGATTTCGTTGGAAGCGGGAATTCAAATAAAAGGTAGACAGCAGCATTCTCAGAAATTTCTTTGTGATGTTTGCATTCAACTCATAGAGTTGAACATTCCCTTTCATAGAGCAGGTTTGAAACATTCTTTCTGTACTATCTGGATGTGGACATTTGTAACGCTTTGATGCCTACGGTGAAAAAGTAAATATCTTCCCATAAAAACTAGACAGAAGGATTCTCAGAAACAAGTTTGTGATGTGTGTACTCAGCTAACAGAGTGGAACCTCTCTTTTGACGCAGCAGTTTGGAAACACTCTTTTTGTAGAAACTGTAAGTGGATATTTGGAAAGCTCTAATGATTTCGTTGGAAACGGGAATATCATCATCTAAAATCTAGACAGAAGCACTCTCAGAAACTACTTTGTGATATCTGCATTCAAGTCACAGAGTTGAACATTCGCTTTCTTAGAGCACTTTTGAAACACTCTTTTTGTAGTATCTGGAAGTGGACATTTGGAGCTCTTTGATGCCTTTGGTGAAAAAGGAAATGTCTTTCCATAAAAACTAGACAGAAGCATTCTCAGAAACTTGTTTGTGATGTGTGAACCCAGCGAAAGGAGTTGAACATTTCTATTGATAGAGCAGTTTTGAAACACTCTTTTTGTGGAATCTGCAAGTGGATATTTGGATAGCTTGGAGGTTTTCGTTGGAAGCGGGAATTCAAATAAAAGGTAGACAGCCAGCATTCTCAGAAATTTCTTTCTGATGTCTGCATTCAACTCATAGAGTTGAAGATTCCCTTTCATAGAGCAGGTTTGAAACACTCTTTCTGGAGTATCTGGATGTGGACATTTGGAGCGCTTTGATGCCTACGGTGAAAAAGTAAATATCTTCCCATAAAAACGAGACAGAAGGATTCTCAGAAACAAATTTGTGATGTGTGTACTCAGCTAACAGAGTGGAACCTTTCTTTTTACAGAGCAGCTTTGAAACTCTATTGTTGTGGATTCTGCAAATTGATATTTAGATTGCTTTAACGATATCGTTGGAAAAGGGAATACCGTCATACAAAATCTAGACAGAAGCATTCTCACAAACTTCTTTGTGATGTGTGTCCTCAACTAACAGAGTTGAACCTTTCTTTTGATGCAGCAGTTTGGAAACACTCTTTTTGTAGAAACTGTAACTGGATATTTGGATAGATCTAACGATTTCGTTGGAAACGGGAATATCATCATCTAAAATCTAGACAGAAACACTATTAGAAACTACTTGGTGATATCTGCATTCAAGTCACAGAGTTGAACATTCCCTTACTTCGACCACGTTTGAAACACTCTTTTGGAAGAATCTGGAAGTGGACATTTGGAGCGCTTTGATGCCTTTGGTGAAAAGGAAACGTCTTCCAATAAAAGCCAGACAGAAGCATTCTCAGAAACTTGTTTGTGATGTGTGTACTCAACTAAAAGAGTTGAACCTTTCTATTGATAGAGCAGTTTTGAAACACTCTTTTTGTGGATTCTGCAAGTGGATATTTGGATTGCTTTGAGGATTTCGTTGGAAGCGGGAATTCATATAAAAACTAGACAGCAGCATTCCCAGAAATTTCTTTCGGATATTTCCATTCAACTCATAGAGATGAACATGGCCTTTCATAGAGCAGGTTTGAAACACTCTTTTTGTAGTTTGTGGAAGTGGACATTTCGATCGCCTTGACGCCTACGGTGAAAAAGGAAATATCTTCCCATAAAAAATAGACAGAAGCACTCTCAGAAACTTGTTGGTGATATGTGTCCTCAACTAACAGAGTTGAACTTTGCCATTGATAGAGAGCAGTTTTGAAACACTCTTTTTGTGGAATCTGCAAGTGGATATTTGGATAGCTTGGAGGATTTCGTTGGAAGCGGTAATTCAAATAAAAGGTAGACAGCAGCATTCTCAGAAATTTCTTTCTGATGTCTGCATTCAACTCATAGAGTTGAGCATTCCCTTTCATAGGGCAGGTTTGAAATACTCTTTCTGTAGTATCTGGATGTGGACATTTGGAGCGCTTTGAGGCCTACGAAGAAAAAGTAAATATCTTCCCATAAAAACGAGACAGAAGGATTCTCAGAAACAAGTTTGTGATGTGTGTACTCAGCTAACAGAGTGGAACCTCTCTTCTGATGCAGCAGTTTGGAAACACTCTTTTTGTAGAAACTGTAAGTGGATATTTGGATAGCTCTAATGATTTCGTTGGAAATGGGAATATCATCAACTAAAATCTAGACAGAAGCACTCTCAGAAACTACTTTGTGATATCTGCATTCAGGTCACAGAGTTGAACATTCGCTTTCTTAGAGCACGTTTGAAACACTCTTTTTGTAGTGTCTGGAAGTGGACATTTGGAGCGCTTTGATGCCTTTGGTGAAAAAGGGAATGTCTTCCCATAAAAACTAGACAGAAGCATTCTCAGAAACTTGTTTGTGATGTGTGTACCCAGCCAAAGGAGTTGAACATTTCTATTGATAGAGCAGTTTTGAAACACTCTTGTTGTGGAAAATGCAGGTGGATATTTGGATAGCTTGGAGGATTTCGTTGGAAGCAGGAATTCAAATAAAAGGTAGACAGCAGCATTCTCAGAAATTTCTTTCTGATGTCTGCATTCAACTCATAGAGTTGAAGATTCCCTTTCATAGAGCAGGTTTGAAACACTCTTTCTGGAGTATCTGGATGTGGACATTTGGAGCGCTTTGATGCCTACGGTGGAAAAGGAAATATCTTCCCATAAAAACGAGACAGAAGGATTCTCAGAAACAAGTTTGTGATGTGTGTACTCAGCTAACAGAGTGGAACATTTCTTTTTACAGAGCAGCTTTGAAACTCTATTTTTCTGGATTCTGCAAATTGATATTTAGATTGCTTTAACGATATCGTTGGAAAAGGGAATATCGTCATACAAAATCTAGACAGAAGCATTCTCACAAACTTGTTTGTGATGTGTGTCCTCAACTAACAGAGTTGAACCTTTCTTTTGATGCAGCAATTTGGAAACACCCTTTTGGTAGAAACTGTAACTGGATATTTGGATAGCTCTAACGATTTCGTTGGAAACGGGAATATCATCATCTAAAATGTAGACAGAAGCACTATTAGAAACTACTTGGTGATATCTGCATTCAAGTCACAGAGTTGAACATTCCCTTACTTTGAGCACGTTTGAAACACTCTTTTGGAAGAATCTGGAAGTGGACATTTGGAGCGCTTTGATGCCTTTGGTGAAAAGGAAACGTCTTCCAATAAAAGCCAGACAGAAGCATTCTCAGAAACTTGTTCGTGATGTGTGTACTCAACTAAAAGAGTTGAACCTTTCTATTGATAGCGCAGTTTTGAAACACTCTTTTTGTGGATTCTGCAAGTGGATATTTGGATTGCTTAGAGGATTTCGTTGGAAGCGGGAATTCGTATAAACACTAGACAGCAGCATTCCCAGAAATTTCTTTCGGATATTTCCATTCAACTCATAGAGATGAACATGGCCTTTCATAGAGCAGGTTTGAAACACTCTTTTTGTAGTTTGTGGAAGTGGACATTTCGATCGCCTTGACGCCTACGCTGAAAAAGGAAATATCTTCCCATAAAAAATAGACAGAAGCATTCTCAGAAACTTGTTGGTGATATGTGTCCTCAACTAACAGAGTTGAACTTTGCCATTGATAGAGAGCAGTTTTGAAACACTCTTTTTGTGGAATCTGCAAGTGGATATTTGGATAGCTTGGAGGATTTCGTTGGAAGCGGGAATTCAAATAAAAGGTAGACAGCAGCATTCTCAGAAATTTCTTTCTGATGTCTGCATTCAACTCATAGAGTTGAAGATTCCCTTTCATAGAGCAGGTTTGAAACACTCTTTCTGGAGTATCTGGATGTGGACATTTGGAGCGCTTTGATGCCTACGGTGAAAAAGTAAATATCTTGCCATAAAAACGACACAGAAGGATTCTCAGAAAGAAGTTTGTGATGTGTGTACTCAGCTAACAGAGTGGAACCTCTCTTTTGAAGCAGCAGTTTGGAAACACTCTTTTTGTAGAAACTGTAAGTGGATATTTGGATAGCTCTAATGATTTCGTTGGAAACGGGAATATCATCATCTAAAATCTAGACAGAAAGCCCTCTCAGAAACTACTCTGTGATATCTGCATTCAAGTCACAGAGTTGAACATTCGTTTTCTTAGAGCACGTTTGAAACACTCTTTTTGTAGTGTCTGGAAGTGGACATTTGGAGCGCTTTGATGCCTTTGGTGAAAAAGGGAATGTCTTCCCATAAAAACTAGACAGAAGCATTCGCAGAAACTTGTTTGTGATGTGTGCACCCAGCTAAAGGAGTTGAACATTTATTGATAGAGCAGTTTTGAAGCACTCTTTTTGTGGAAAATGCAAGTGGATATTTGGATAGCTTGGAGGATTTCGTTGGAAGCGGGAGTTCAAATAAAAGGTAGACAGCAGCATTCTCAGAAATTTCTTTCTGATGTCTGCATTCAACTCATAGAGTTGAAGATTCCCTTTCATAGAGCAGGTTTGAAACACTCTTTCTGGAGTATCTGGATGTGGACATTTGGAGCGCTTTGATGCCTACGGTGAAAAAGTAAATATCTTCCCATAATAACGAGACAGAAGGATTCTGAGAAACAAGTTTGTGATGTGTGTACTCAGCTAACAGAGTGGAACCTTTCTTTTTACAGAGCAGCTTTGGAACTCTATTTTTGTGGATTCTGCAAATGGATATTTAGATTGCTTTAATGATATCGCTGGAAAAGGGAATATGGTCATACAAAATCTAGACAGAAGCATTCTCACAAACTTCTTTGTGATGTGTGTCCTCAACTAACAGAGTTGAACTTTTCTTTTGATGCAGCAGTTTGGAAACACTCTTTTTGTAGAAACTGTAAGTGGATATTTGGATAGCTCTAACGATTTCGTTGGAAACGGGAATATCATCATCTAAAATCTAGACAGAAGCACTATTAGAAACTACTTGGTGATATCTGCATTCAAGTCACAGAGTTGAACATTCCCTTACTTTGAGCACGTTTGAAACACTCTTTTGGAAGAATCTGGAAGTGGACATTTGGAGCGCTTTGATGCCTTTGGTGAAAAGGAAACGTCTTCCAATAAAAGCCAGACAGAAGCATTCTGAGAAACTTGTTCGTGATGTGTGTACTCAACTAAAAGAGTTGAACCTTTCTATTGATAGAGCAGTTTTGAAACACTCTTTTTGTGGATTCTGCAAGTGGATATTTGGATTGCTTTGAGGATTTCGTTGGAAGCGGGAATTCGGTATAAACACTAGACAGCAGCATTCCCAGAAATTTCTTTCGGATATTTCCATTCAACTCATAGAGATGAACATGGCCCTTCATAGAGCAGGTTTGAAACACTCTTTTTGTAGTTTGTGGAAGTGGACATTTCGATCGCCTTGACGCCTACGGTGAAAAAGGAAATATCTTCCCATAAACAATAGACAGAAGCATTCTCAGAAACTTGTTGGTGATATGTGTCCTCAACTAACAGAGTTGAACTTTGCCATTGATAGAGAGCAGTTTTGAAACACTCTTTTTGTGGAATCTGCAAGTGGATATTTGGATAGCTTGGAGGATTTCGTTGGAAGCGGGAATTCAAATTAAAGGTAGACAGCAGCATTCTCAGAAATTTTTTCTGATGTCTGCATTCAACTCATAGAGTTGAAGATTCCCTTTCATAGAGCAGGTTTGAAACACTCTTTCTGGAGTATCTGGATGTGGACATTTGGAGCGCTTTGATGCCTACGGTGAAAAAGTAAATATCTTCCCATAAAAACGAGACAGAAGGATTCTGAGAAACAAGTTTGTGATGTGTGTACTCAGCTAACAGAGTGGAACCTCTCTTTTGATGCAGCAGTTTGGAAACACTCTTTTTGTAGAAACTGTAAGTGGATATTTGGATAGCTCTAATGATTTTGTTGGAAACGGGATTATCATCATCTAAAATCTAGACAGAAGCACTCTCAGAAACTACTTTGTGATATCTGCATTCAAGTCACAGAGTTGAACATTCGCTTTCTTAGAGCACGTTGGAAACACTCTTTTTGTAGTGTCTGGAAGTGGACATTTGGAGCGCTTTGATGTCTTTGGTGAAAAAGGGAATGTCTTCCCATAAAAACTAGACAGAAGCATTCTCAGAAACTTGTTTGTGATGTGTGTACCCAGCTAAAGGAGTTGAACATTTCTATTGATAGAGCAGTTTTGAAACACTCTTTTTGTGGAAAATGCAAGTGAATATTTGGATAGCTTGGAGGATTTCGTTGGAAGAGGGAATTCAAATAAAAGGTAGACAGCCAGCATTCTCAGAAATTTCTTTCTGATGTCTGCATTCAACTCATAGAGTTGAAGATTCCCTTTCATAGAGCAGGTTTGAAACACTCTTTCTGGAGTATCTGGATGTGGACATTTGGAGCGCTTTGATGCCTACGGTGGAAAAGTAAATATCTTCCCATAAAAACGAGACAGAGGATTCTGAGAAACAAGTTTGTAATGTGTGTACTCAGCTAACAGAGTGGAACCTTTCTTTTTACAGAGCAGCTTTGAAACTCTATTTTTGTGGATTCTGCAAATTGATATTTAGATTGCTTTAACGATATCGTTGGAAAAGGGAATATCGTCATACAAAATCTAGACAGAAGCATTCTCACAAACTTCTTTGTGATGTGTGTCCTCAACTAACAGAGTTGAACCTTTCTTTTGATGCAGCAATTTGGAAACACCCTTTTGGTAGAAACTGTAACTGGATATTTGGATAGCTCTAACGATTTCGTTGGAAACGGGAATATCATCATCTAATATCTAGACAGAAGCACTATTAGAAACTACTTGGTGATATCTGCATTCAAGTCACAGAGTTGAACATTCCCTTACTTTGAGCACGTTTGAAACACTCTTTTGGAAGAATCTGGAAGTGGACATTTGGAGCGCTTTGATGCCTTTGGTGAAAAGGAAACGTCTTCCAATAAAAGCCAGACAGAAGCATTCTCAGAAACTTGTTCGTGATGTGTGTACTCAACTAAAAGAGTTGAACCTTTCTATTGATAGAGCAGTTTTGAAACACTCTTTTTGTCGATTCTGCAAGTGGATATTTGGATTGTTTGAGGATTTCGTTGGAAGCGGGAATTCGTATAAAAACTAGACAGCAGCATTCCCAGAAATTTCTTTCGGATATTTCCATTCAACTCATAGAGATGAACATGGCCTTTCATAGAGCAGGTTTGAAACACTCTTTTTGTAGTTTGTGGAAGTGGACATTTCGATCGCCTTGACGCCTACGGTGAAAAAGGAAATATCTTCCCATAAAAAATAGACAGAAGCATTCTCAGAAACTTGTTGGTGATATGTGTCCTCAACTAACAGAGTTGAACTTTGCCATTGATAGAGAGCAGTTTTGAAACACTCTTTTTCCGGAATCTGCAAGTGGATATTTGGATAGCTTGGAGGATTTCGTTGGAAGCGGGAATTCAAATAAAAGGTAGACAGCAGCATTCTCAGAAATTTCTTTCTGATGTCTGCATTCAACTCATAGAGTTGAACATTCCCTTTCATAGGGCAGGTTTGAAATACTCTTTCTGTAGTATCTGGATGTGGACATTTGGAGCGCTTTGATGCCTACGGTGAAAAAGTAAATATCTTCCCATAAAAACGAGACAGAAGGATTCTCAGAAACAAGTTTGTGATGTGTGTACTCAGCTAACAGAGTGGAACCACTCTTTTGATGTCAGCAGTTTGGAAACACTCTTTTTGTAGAAACTGTAAGTGGATATTTGGATAGCTCTAATGATTTCGTTGGAAACGGGAATATCATCATGTAAAATCTAGACAGAAGCCCTCTCAGAAACTACTTTGTGATATCTGCATTCAAGTCACAGAGTTGAACATTCGCTTTCTTAGAGCACGTTGGAAACACTCTTTTTGTAGTGCCTGGAAGTGGACATTTGGAGCGCTTTGATGCCTTTGGTGAAAAAGGGAACGTCTTCCCATAAAAACTAGACAGAAGCATTCTCAGAAACTTGTTTGTGATGTGTGTACCCAGCTAAAGGAGTTGAACATTTCTATTGATAGAGCAGTTTTGAAAAACTCTTTTTGTGGAAAATGCAAGTGGATATTTGGATAGCTTGGAGGATTTCGTTGGAATCGGGAATTCAAATAAAAGGTAGACAGCAGCATTCTCAGAAATTACTTTCTGATGTCTGCATTCAACTCATAGAGTTGAAGATTCCCTTTCATAGAGCAGGTTTGAAACACTCTTTCTGTAGTATCTGGATGTGGACATTTGGAGCGCTTTGATACCTACGGTGAAAAAGTAAATATCTTCCCATAAAAACTAGACAGAAGGATTCTCAGAAACAAGTTTGTGATGTGTGTACTCAGCTAACAGAGTGGAACCTCTCTTTTGATGCAGCAGTTTGGAAACACTCTTTTTGTAGAAACTGTAAGTGGATATTTGGATAGCTCTAATGATTTCGTTGGAAACGGGAATATCATCATCTAAAATACTAGACAGAAGCCCTCTCAAAAACTACTTTGTGATATCTGCATTCAAGTCACAGAGTTGAACATTCGCTTTCTTAGAGCACGTTTGAAACACTCTTTTTGTAGTGTCTGGAAGTGGACATTTGGAGCGCTTTGATGCCTTTGGTGAAAAAGGGAATGTCTTCCCATAAAAACTAGACAGAAGCATTCTCAGAAACTTGTTTGTGATGTGTGTACCTAGCTAAAGGAGTTGAACATTTCTATTGATAGAGCAGTTTTGAAACACTCTTTTTGTGGAAAATGCAGGTGGATATTTGGATAGGTTGGAAGATTTCGTTGGAAGCGGGAATTCAAATAAATGGTAGACAGCAGCATTCTCAGAAATTTCTTTCTGATGTCTGCATTCAACTCATAGAGTTGAAGATTCCCTTTCATAGAGCAGGTTTGAAACACTCTTTCTGGAGTATCTGGATGTGGACATTTGGAGCGCTTTGATGCCTACGGTGGAAAAGTAAATATACTTCCCATAAAAACGAGACAGAAGGATTCTGAGAAACAAGTTTGTGATGTGTGTACTCAGCTAACAGAAGTGGAACCTTTCTTTTTACAGAGCAGCTTTGAAACTCTATTTTTGTGGATTCTGCAAATGGATATTTAGATTGCTTTAACGATATCGTTGGAAAAGGGAATATCGTCATACAAAATCTAGACAGAAGGATTCTCACAAACTTCTTTGTGATGTGTGTCCTCAACTAACAGAGTTGAACCTTTCTTTTGATGCAGCAGTTTGGAAACACTCTTTTTGTAGAAACTGTAAGTGGATATTTGGATAGCTCTAACGATTTCGTTGGAAACGGGAATATCATCCTGTAAAATCTGGACAGAAGCACTATTAGAAACTACTTGGTGATATCTGCATTCATGTCACAGAGTTGAACATTCCCTTACTTTGAGCACGTTTCAAACACTCTTTTGGAAGAATCTGGAAGTGGACATTTGGAGCGCTTTGATGCCTTTGGTGAAAAGGAAACGTCTTCCAATAAAAGCCAGACAGAAGCATTCTCAGAAACTTGTTTGTGATGTGTGTACTCAACTAAAAGAGTTGAACCTTTCTATTGATAGAGCAGTTTTGAAACACTCTTTTTGTGGATTCTGCAAGTGGATATTTGGATTGCTTTGAGGATTTCGTTGGAAGCGGGAATTCGTATAAAAACTAGACAGCAGCATTCCCAGAAATTTCTTTCGGATATTTCCATTCGACTCATAGAGATGAACATGGCCTTTCATAGAGCAGGTTTGAAACACTCTTTTTGTAGTTTGTGGAAGTGGACATTTCGATCGCCTTGATGCCTACGGTGAAAAAGGAAATATCTTCCCATAAAAAATAGACAGAAGCATTCTCAGAAACTTGTTGGTGATATGTGTCCTCAACTAACAGAGTTGAACTTTGCCATTGATAGAGAGCAGTTTTGAAACACTCTTTTTGTGGAATCTGCAAGTGGATATTTGGATAGCTTGGAGGATTTCGTTGGAAGCGGGAATTCAAATAAAAGGTAGACAGCAGGATTCTCAGAAACAAGTTTGTGATGTGTGTACTCAGCTAACAGAGTGGATCCTTTCTTTTTACAGAGCAGCTTTGAAACTCTATTTCTGTGGATTCTGCAAATTGATATTTGGGTTGATTTAACGATATCGATGGAAAAGGGAATATCTTCATACAAAATCTAGACAGAAGCTTTCTCAGAAACTTCTTTGTGATGTGTGTCCTCAACTCACAGAGTTGAACCTTTCTTTAGATGCAGCAGTTTGGAAACACTCTTTTTGTAGAAACTGTAAGTGGATATTTGGGTAGGTCTAACGATATCGTTGGAAACGAGAATACCTTCATCTAAAGTATACACAGAATCAGTCTCAGAAACTACTTTGTGATATCTGCATTCCAGTCACAGAGTTGAAAACTCCCTTACTTAGAGCAGGTTTGAAACACTCTTTTTGTAGAATCTGGAAGTGGACATTTGGAGCGCTTTGATGCCTTTGGTTAAAAAGGAAATGTCTTCCCTTAAGAAGTAGACAGAAGCATTCTCAGAAACATGTTTGTGATGTGTGTACCCAGCTAAAGGAGTTGAACATTTCTATTGATAGAGCAGTTTTGAAACACTCTTTTTGTGGAAAATGCAAGTGGATATTTGGATAGCTTGGAGGATTTCGTTGGAAGCGGGAATTCAAATAAAAGGTAGACAGCAGCATTCTCAGAAATTTCTTTCTGATGTCTGCATTAAACTCATAGAGTTGAAGATTCCCTTTCATAGAGCAGGTTTGAAACACTCTTTCTGGAGTATCTGGATGTGGACATTTGGAGCGCTTTGATGCCTACGGTGAAAAAGTAAATATCTTCCCATAAAAACGAGACATAAGGATTCTGAGAAACAAGTTTGTGATGTGTGTACTCAGCTAACGGAGTGGAACCTCTCTTTTGATGCAGCAGTTTGGAAACACTCTTTTTGTAGAAACTGTAAGTGGATATTTGGATAGCTCTAATGATTTCGTTGGAAACGGGAATATCATCATCTAAAATCTAGACAGAAGCACTCTCAGAAACTACTGTGTGATATCTGCATTCAAGTCACAGAGTTGAACATTCGCTTTCTTAGAGCACGTTTGAAACACTCTTTTTGTAGTGTCTGGAAGTGGACATTTGGAGCGCTTTGATTCCTTTGGTGAAAAAGGGAATGTCTACCCATAAAAACTAGACAGAAGCATTGTCAGAAACTTGTTTGTGATGTGTGTACCCAGCCAAAGGAGTTGAACATTTCTATTGATAGAGCAGGTTTGAAACACTCTTTTTGTGGAAAATGCAGGTGGATATTTGGATAGCTTGGAGGATTTCGTTGGAAGCGGGAATTCAAATAAAAGGTAGACAGCAGCATTCTCAGAAATTTCTTTCTGATGTCTGCATTCAACTCATAGAGTTGAAGATTCCCTTTCATGGAGCAGGTTTGAAACAGTCTTTCTGGAGTATCTGGATGTGGACATTTGGAGCGCTTTGATGCCTACGGTGAAAAAGTAAATATCTTCCCATAAAAACGAGACAGAAGGATTCTGAGAAACAAGTTTGTGATGTGTGTACTCAGCTAACAGAGTGGAACCTCTCTTTTGATGCAGCAGTTTGGAAACACTCTTTTTGTAGAAACTGTAAGTGGATATTTGGATAGCTCTAATGATTTCGTTGGAAACGGGAATATCATCATCTAAAATCTAGACAGAAGCCCTCTCAGAAACTACTTTGTGATATCTGCATTCAAGTCACAGAGTTGAACCTTCGCTTTCTTAGAGCACGTTTGAAACACTCTTTTTGTAGTGTCTGGAAGTGGACATTTGGAGCGCTTTGATGCCTTTGGTGAAAAAGGGAATGTCTTCCCATAAAAACTAGACAGAAGCATTCTCAGAAACTTGTTTGTGATGTGTGTACCCAGCTAAAGGAGATGAACATTTCTATTGATAGAGCAGTTTTGAAACACTCTTTTTGTGGAAAATGCAAGTGGATATTTGGATAGCTTGGAGGATTTCGTTGGAAGCGGGAATTCAAATAAAAGGTAGACAGCAGCATTCTCAGAAATTTCTTTCTGATGTCTGCATTCAACTCATAGAGTTGAAGATTCCCTTTCATAGGGCAGGTTTGAAACACTCTTTCTGGAGTATCTGGATGTGCACATTTGGAGCGCTTTGATGCCTACGGTGGAAAAGTAAATATCTTCCCATAAAAACGAGACAGAAGGATTCTCAGAAACAAGTTTGTGATGTGTGTACTCAGCTAACAGAGTGGAACCTTTCTTTTTACAGAGCAGCTTTGAAACTCTAGTTTTGTGGATTCTGCAAATTGATATTTAGATTGCTTTAACGATATCGTTGGAAAAGGGAATATCGTCATACAAAATCTAGACAGAAGCATTCTCACAAACTTCTTTGTGATGTGTGTCCTCAACTAACAGAGTTGAACCTTTCTTTTGTTGCAGCAATTTGGAAACACCCTTTTGGTAGAAACTGTAACTGGATATTTGGATAGCTCTAACGATTTCGTTGGAAAAGGGAATATCATCATCTAAAATGTAGACAGAAGCCCTCTCAGAAACTACTTTGTGATATCTGCATTCAAGTCACAGAGTTGAACATTCGCTTTCTTAGAGCACGTTTGAAACACTCTTTTGGAAGAATCTGGAAGTGGACATTTGGAGCGCTTTGATGCCTTTGGTGAAAAGGAAACGTCTTCCAATAAAAGCCAGACAGAAGCATTCTCAGAAACTTGTTTGTGATGTGTGTACTCAACTAAAAGAGTTGAACCTTTCTATTGATAGCGCAGTTTTGAAACACTCTTTTTGTGGATTCTGCAAGTGGATATTTGGATTGCTTTGAGGATTTCGTTGGAAGCGGGAATTCATATAAAAACTAGACAGCAGCATTCCCAGAAATTTCTTTCGGATATTTCCATTCAACTCATAGAGATGAACATCGCCTTTCATAGAGCAGGTTTGAAACACTCTTTTTGTAGTTTGTGGAAGTGGACATTTCGATCGCCTTGACGCCTACGGTGAAAAAGGAAATATCTTCCCATAAAAAATAGACAGAAGCATTCTCAGAAACTTGTTGGTGATATGTGTCCTCAACTAACAGAGTTGAACTTTGCCATTGATAGAGAGCAGTTTTGAAACACTCTTTTTGTGGAATCTGCAAGTGGATATTTGGATAGCTTGGAGGATTTCGTTGGAAGCGGGAATTCAAATAAAAGGTAGACAGCAGCATTCTCAGAAATTTCTTTCTGATGTCTGCATTCAACTCATAGAGTTGAAGATTCCCTTTCATAGAGCAGGTTTGAAAGACTCTTTCTGGAGTATCTGGATGTGGACATTTGGAGCGCTTTGATGCCTACGGTGGAAAAGTAAATATCTTCCCATAAAAACGAGACAGAAGGATTCTCAGAAACAAGTTTGTGATGTGTGTACTCAGCTAACAGAGTGGAACCTTTCTTTTTACAGAGCAGCTTTGAAACTCTATTGTTGTGGATTCTGCAAATTGATATTTAGATTGCTTTAACGATATCGTTGGAAAAGGGAATACCGTCATACAAAATCTGGACAGAAGCACTCTCACAAACTTCTTTGTGATGTGTGTCCTCAACTAACAGAGTTGAACCTTTCTTTTGATGCAGCAATTTGGAAACACCCTTTTGGTAGAAACTGTAACTGGATATTTGGATAGCTCTAACGATTTCGTTGGAAACGGGAATATCATCATCTAAAATCTAGACAGAAGCACTATTAGAAACTACTTAGTGATATCTGCATTCAAGTCACAGAGTTGAACATTCCCTTACTTTGAGCACGTTTGAAACACTCTTTTGGAAGAATCTGGAAGTGGACATTTGGAGCGCTTTGATGCCTTGTGTGAAAAGGAAACGTCTTCCAATAAAAGCCAGACAGAAGCATTCTCAGAAACTTGTTTGTGATGTGTGTACTCAACTAAAAGAGTTGAACCTTTCTATTGATAGAGCAGTTTTGAAACACTCTTTTTGTGGATTCTGCAAGTGGATATTTGGATTGCTTTGAGGATTTCGTTGGAAGCGGGAATTCGTATAAAAACTAGACAGCAGCATTCCCAGAAATTTCTTTCGGATATTTCCATTCAACTCATAGAGATGAACATGGCCTTTCATAGAGCATGTTTGAAACACTCTTTTTGTAGTTTGTGGAAGTGGACATTTCGATCGCCTTGACGCCTACGGTGAAAAAGGAAATATCTTCCCATAAAAAATAGACAGAAGCATTCTCAGAAACTTGTTGGTGATATGTGTCCTCAACTAACAGAGTTGAACTTTGCCATTGATAGAGAGCAGTTTTGAAACACTCTTTTTGTGGAATCTGCAAGTGGATATTTGGATAGCTTGGAGGATTTCGTTGGAAGCGGGAATTCAAATAAAAGGTAGACAGCAGCATTCTCAGAAATTTCTTTCTGATGTCTGCATTCAACTCATAGAGTTGAAGATTCCCTTTCATAGAGCAGGTTTGAAACACTCTTTCTGGAGTATCTGGATGTGGACATTTGGAGCGCTTTGATGCCCACGGTGAAAAAGTAAATATCTTCCCAGAAAAACGAGACAGAAGGATTCTGAGAAACAAGTTTGTGATGTGTGTACTCAGCTAACAGAGTGGAACCTTTCTTTTTACAGAGCAGCTTTGAAACTCTATTTTTGTGGATTCTGCAAATGGATACTTAGATTGCTTTAACGATATCGTTGGAAAAGGGAATATCGTCATACAAAATCTAGACAGAAGCATTCTCACAAACAGCTTTGTGACGTGTGTCCTCAACTAACAGAGTTGAACTTTTCTTTTGATGCAGCAGTTTGGAAACACCCTTTTGGTAGAAACTGTAAGTGGATATTTGGATAGCTCTAACGATTTCGTTGGAAACGGGAATATCATCATCTAAAATCTAGACAGAAGCACTATTAGAAACTACTTGGTGATATCTGCATTCAAGTCACAGAGTTGAACATTCCCTTACTTCGACCACGTTTGAAACACTCTTTTGGAAGAATCTGGAAGTGGACATTTGGAGCGCTTTGATGCCTTTGTTGAAAAGGAAACGTCTTCCAATAAAAGCCAGACAGAAGCATTCTCAGAAACTTGTTTGTGATGTGTGTACTCAACTAAAAGAGTTGAACCTTTCTATTGATAGAGCAGTTTTGAAACACTCTTTTTGTGGATTCTGCAAGTGGATATTTGGATTGCTTTGAGGATTTCGTTGGAAGCGGGAATTCGTATAAAAACTAGACAGCAGCATTCCCAGAAATTTCTTTCGGATATTTCCATTCGACTCATAGAGATGAACATGGCCTTTCATAGAGCAGGTTTGAAACACTCTTTTTGTAGTTTGTGGAAGTGGACATTTCGATCGCCTTGACGCCTACGGTGAAAAAGGAAATATCTTCCCATAAAAAATAGACAGAAGCATTCTCAGAAACTTGTTGGTGATATGTGTCCTCAACTAACAGAGATGAACTTTGCCATTGATAGAGAGCAGTTTTGAAACACTCTTTTTGTGGAATCTGCAAGTGGATATTTGGATAGCTTGGAGGATTTCGTTGGAAGCGGGAATTCAAATAAAAGGTAGACAGCAGGTTTCTCAGAAACAAGTTTGTGATGTGTGTACTCAGCTAACAGAGTGGAACCTTTCTTTTTAAAGAGCAGCTTTGAAACTCTATTTTTGTGGATTCTGCAAATTGATATTTAGATTGCTTTAACGATATCGTTGGAAAAGGGAATATCGTCATACAAAATCTAGACAGAAGCATTCTCACAAACTTCTTTGTGATGTGTGTCCTCAACTAACAGAGTTGAAACTTTCTTTTGATGCAGCAATTTGGAAACAGCCTTTTGGTAGAAACTGTAACTGGATATTTGGATAGCTCTAGCGATTTCGTTGGAAACGGGAATATCATCATCTAAAATCTAGACAGAAGCACTATTAGAAATTACTTGGTGATATCTGCATTCAAGTCACAGAGTTGAACATTCCCTTACTTTGAGCACGTTTCAAACACTCTTTTGGAAGAATCTGGAAGTGGACATTTGGAGCGCTTTGATGCCTTTGGTGAAAAGGAAACGTCTTCCAATAAAAGCCAGACAGAAGCATTCTCAGAAACTTGTTTGTGATGTGTGTACTCAACTAAAAGAGTTGAACCTTTCTATTGATAGAGCAGTTTTGAAACACTCTTTTTGTGGATTCTGCAAGTGGATATTTGGATTGCTTTGAGGATTTCGTTGGAAGCGGGAATTCGTATAAAAACTAGACAGCAGCATTCCCAGAAATTTCTTTCGGATATTTCCATTCGACTCATAGAGATGAACATGGCCTTTCATAGAGCAGGTTTGAAACACTCTTTTTGTAGTTTGTGGAAGTGGACATTTCGATCGCCTTGACGCCTACGGTGAAAAAGGAAATATCTTCCCATAAAAAATAGACAGAAGCATTCTCAGAAACTTGTTGGTGATATGTGTCCTCAACTAACAGAGTTGAACTTTGCCATTGATAGAGAGCAGTTTTGAAACACTCTTTTTGTGGAATCTGCAAGTGGATATTTGGATAGCTTGGAGGATTTCGTTGGAAGCGGGAATTCAAATAAAAGGTAGACAGCAGCATTCTCAGAAATTTCTTTCTGATGTCTGCATTCAACTCATAGAGTTGAAGATTCTCTTTCATAGAGCAGGTTTGAAACACTCTTTCTGGAGTATCTGGATGTGGACATTTGGAGCGCTTTGATGCCTACGGTGAAAAAGTAAATATCTTCCCAGAAAAACGAGACAGAAGGATTCTCAGAAACACGTTTGTGATGTGTGTACTCAGCTAACAGAGTGGAACCTTTCTTTTTACAGAGCAGCTTTGAAACTCTATTTTTGTGGATTCTGCAAATTGATATTTAGATTGCTTTAACGATATCGTTGGAAAAGGGAATATCGTCATACAAAATCTGGACAGAAGCATTCTCACAAACTTCTTTGTGATGTGTGTCCTCAACTAACAGAGTTGAACCTTTCTTTTGATGCAGCAGTTTGGAAACACTGTTTTTGTAGCAACTGTAAGTGGATATTTGGATAGCTCTAACGATTTCGTTGGAAACGGGAATATCATCATCTAAAATCTAGACAGAAAGCACTATTAGCAAACTACTTGGTGATATCTGCATTCAAGTCACAGAGTTGAACATTCCCTTACTTTGAGCACGTTTCAAACACTCTTTTGGAAGAATCTGGAAGTGGACATTTGGAGCGCTTTGATGCCTTTGGTGAAAAGGAAACGTCTTCCAATAAAAGCCAGACAGAAAGCATTCTCAGAAACTTGTTTGTGATGTGTGTACTCAACTAAAAGAGTTGAACCTTTCTATTGATAGAGCAGTTTTGAAACACTCTTTTTGTGGATTCTGCAAGTGGATATTTGGATTGCTTTGAGGATTTCGTTGGAAGCGGGAATTCGTATAAAAACTAGACAGCAGCATTCCCAGAAATTTCTTTCGGATATTTCCATTCGACTCATAGAGATGAACATGGCCTTTCATAGAGCAGGTTTGAAACACTCTTTTTGTAGTTTGTGGAAGTGGACATTTCGATCGCCTTGACGCCTACGGTGAAAAAGGAAATATCTTCCCATAAAAAATAGACAGAAGCATTCTCAGAAACTTGTTGGTGATATGTGTCCTCAACTAACAGAGTTGAACTTTGCCATTGATAGAGAGCAGTTTTGAAACACTCTTTTTGTGGAATCTGCAAGTGGATATTTGGATAGCTTGGAGGATTTCGTTGGAAGCGGGATTTCAAATAAAAGGTAGACAGCAGCATTCTCAGAAATTTCTTTCTGATGTCTGCATTCAACTCATAGAGTTGAAGATTCCCTTTCATAGAGCAGGTTTGAAACACTCTTTCTGGAGTATCTGGATGTGGACATTTGGAGCGCTTTGATGCCTACGGTGAAAAAGTAAATATCTTCCCATAAAAACGACACAGAAGGATTCTCAGAAACAAGTTTGTGATGTGTGTACTCAGCTAACAGAGTGGAACCTCTCTTTTGATGCAGCAGTTTGGAAACACTCTTTTTGTAGAAACTGTAAGTGGATATTTGGATAGCTCTAATGATTTCGTTGGAAACGGGAATATCATCATCTAAAATCTAGACAGAAGGACTCTCAGAAACTACTTTTTGATATCTGCATTCAAGTCACAGAGTTGAACATTCGCTTTCTTAGAGCACTTTTGAAACACTCTATTTGTCGTATCTGGAAGTGGACATTTGGAGCTCTTTGATGCCTTTGGTGAAAAAGGAAATGTCTTCCCATAAAAACTAGACAGAAGCATTCTCAGAAACTTGTTTGTGATGTGTGTACCCAGCTAAAGGAGCTGAACATTTCTATTGATAGAGCAGTTTTGAAACACTCTTTTTGTGGAAAATGCAAGTGGATATTTGGATAGCTTGGAGGATTTCGTTGGAAGCGTGAATTCAAATAAAAGGTAGACAGCAGCATTCTCAGAAATTTCTTTCTGATGTCTCCATTCAACTCATAGAGTTGAAGATTCCCTTTCATAGAGCAGGTTTGAAACACTCTTTCTGGAGTATCTGGATGTGGACATTTGGAGCGCTTTGATGCCTACGGTGAAAAAGTAAATATCTTCCCATAAAAACGAGACAGAAGGATTCTCAGAAACAAGTTTGTGATGTGTGTACTCAGCTAACAGAGTGGAACCTTTCTTTTTACAGAGCAGCTTTGAAACTCTATTTTTGTGGATTCTGCAAATTGATATTTAGATTGCTTTAACGATATCGTTGGAAAAGGGAATATCGTCATACAAAATCTGGACTGAAGCATTCTCACAAACTTCTTTGTGATGTGTGTCCTCAACTAACAGAGTTGAACTTTTCTTTTGATTCAGCAGTTTGGAAACACTGTTTTTGTAGAAACTGTAAGTGGATATTTGGATAGCTCTAACGATTTCGTTGGAAACGGGAATATCATCATCTAAAATCTAGACAGAAGCACTATTAGAAACTACTTGGTGATATCTGCATTCAAGTCACAGTGTTGAACATTCCCTTACTTTGAGCACGTTTGAAACACTCTTTTGGAAGAATCTGGAAGTGGACATTTGGAACGTTTTGATGCCTTTGGTGAAAAGGAAACGTCTTCCAATAAAAGCCAGACAGAAGCATTCTCAGAAACTTGTTTGTGATGTGTGTACTCAACTAAAAGAGTTGAACCTTTCTATTGATAGAGCAGTTTTGAAACACTCTTTTTGTGGATTCTGCAAGTGGATATTTGGATTGCTTTGAGGATTTCGTTGGAAGTGGGAATTCGCATAAAAACTAGACAGCAGCATTCCCAGAAATTTCTTTCGGATATTTCCATTCGACTCATAGAGATGAACATGGCCTTTCATAGAGCAGGTTTGAAACACTCTTTTTGTAGTTTGTGGAAGTGGACATTTCGATCGCCTTGACGCCTACGGTGAAAAAGGAAATATCTTCCCATAAAAAATAGACAGAAGCATTCTCACAAACTTGTTGGTGATATGTGTCCTCAACTAACAGAGTTGAACTTTGCCATTGATAGAGAGCAGTTTTGAAACACTCTTTTTGTGGAATCTGCAAGTGGATATTTGGATAGCTTGGAGGATTTCGTTGGAAGCGGGAATTCAAATAAAAGGTAGACAGCAGCATTCTCAGAAATTTCTTTCTGATGTCTGCATTCAACTCATAGAGTTGAAGATTCCCTTTCATAGAGCAGGTTTGAAACACTCTTTCTGGAGTATCTGGATGTGGACATTTGGAGCGCTTTGATGCTTACGGTGAAAAAGTATAATCTTCCCATAAAAACGAGACAGAAGGATTCTGAGAAACAAGTTTGTGATGTGTGTACTCAGCTAACAGATTGGAACCTCTCTTTTGATGCAGCAGTTTGGAAACACTCGTTTTGTAGAAACTGTAAGTGCATATTTGGATAGCTCTAATGATTTCGTTGGAAACGGGAATATCATCATCTAAAATCTAGACAGAAGCACTCTCAGAAACTACTTTGTGATATCTGCATTCAAGTCACAGAGTTGAACATTCGCTTTCTTAGAGCACGTTTGAAACACTCTTTTTGTAGTGTCTGGAAGTGGACATTTGGAGCGCTTTGTTTCCTTTGGTGAAAAAGGGAATGTCTACCCATAAAAACTAGACAGAAGCATTCTCAGAAACTTGTTTGTGATGTGTGTACCCAGCCAAAGGAGTTGAACATTTCTATTGATAGAGCAGTTTTGAAACACTCTTTTTGTGTAAAATGCAGGTGGATATTTGGATAGCTTGGAGGATTTCGTTGGAAGCGGGAATTCAAATAAAAGGTAGACAGCAGCATTCTCAGAAATTTCTTTCTGATGTCTGCATTCAACTCATAGAGTTGAAGATTCCCTTTCATAGAGCAGGTTTGAAACACTTGTTCTGGAGTATCTGGATGTGGACATTTGGAGCGCTTTGATGCCTACGGTGGAAAAGTAAATATCTTCCCATAAAAACGAGACAGAAGGATTCTCAGAATCAAGTTTGTGATGTGTGTACTCAGCTAACAGAGTGGAACCTTTCTTTTTACAGAGCAGCTTTGAAACTCTATTTTTGTGGATTCTGCAAATTGATATTTAGATTGCTTTAACGATATCGTTGGAAAAGGGAATATCGTCATACAAAATCTAGACAGAAGCATTCTCACAAACTTCTTTGTGATGTGTGTCCTCAACTAACAGAGTTGAACCTTTCTTTTGATGCAGCAGTTTGGAAACACCCTTTTGGTAGAAACTGTAAGTGGATATTTGGATAGCTCTAACGATTTCGTTGGAAACGGTAATATCATAATCTAAAATCTAGACAGAAGCACTATTAGAAACTACTTGGTGATATCTGCATTCAAGTCACAGAGTTGAACATTCCCTTACTTTGAGCACGTTTGAAACACTCTTTTGGAAGAATCTGGAAGTGGACATTTGGAGCGCTTTGATGCCTTTGGTGAAAAGGAAACATCTTCCAATAAAAGCCAGACAGAAGCATTCTCAGAAACTTGTTTGTGATGTGTGTACTCAACTAAAAGAGTTGAACCTTTCTATTGATAGAGCAGTTTTGAAACACTCTTTTTGTGGATTCTGCAAGTGGATATTTGGATTGCTTTGAGGATTTCGTTGGAAGCGGGAATTCGTATAAAAACTAGACAGCAGCATTCCCAGAAATTTCTTTCGGATATTTCCATTCGACTCATAGAGATGAACATGGCCTTTCATAGAGCAGGTTTGAAACACTCTTTTTGTAGTTTGTGGAAGTGGACATTTCGATCGCCTTGACGCCTACGGTGAAAAAGGAAATATCTTCCCATAAAAAATAGACAGAAGCATTCTCAGAAACTTGTTGGTGATATGTGTCCTCAACTAACAGAGTTGAACTTTGCCATTGATAGAGAGCAGTTTTGAAACACTCTTTTTGTGGAATCTGCAAGTGGATATTTGGATAGCTTGGAGGATTTCGTTGGAAGCGGGAATTCAAATAAAAGGTAGACAGCAGCATTCTCAGAAATTTCTTTCTGATGTCTGCATTCAACTCATAGAGTTGAACATTCCCTTTCATAGAGCAGGTTTGAAACACTCTTTCTGGAGTATCTGGATGTGGACATTTGGAGCGCTTTGATGCCTACGGCGAAAAAGTATAATCTTCCCATAAAAACGAGACAGAAGCTTTCTCAGAAAATTCTTTGTGATGTGTGTCCTCAACTAACAGAGTTGAACCTTTCTTTAGATGCAGCAGTTTGGAAACACTCTTTTTGTAGAAACTGTAAGTGGATATTTGGATAGGTCTAACGATATCGTTGGAAACGGGAATATCTTCATCTAAAGTATACACAGAAGCAGTCTCAGAAACTACATTGTGATATCTGCATTCCAGTCACAGAGTTGAAAACTCCCTTACTTAGAGCAGGTTTGAAACACTCTTTTTGTAGAATCTGGAAGTGGACATTTGGAACGCTTTGATGCCTTTGGTGAAAAAGGAAATGTCTTCCCTTAAAAAGTAGACAGAAGCATTCTCAGAAACTTGTTTGTGATGTGTGTACCCAGCCAAAGGAGTTGAACATTTCTATTGATAGAGCAGTTTTGAAACACTCTTGTTGTGGAAATTGCAGGTGGATATTTGGATAGCTTGGAGGATTTCGTTGGAAGCGGGAATTCAAATAAAAGGTAGACAGCAGCATTCTCAGAAATTTCTTTCTGATGTCTGCATTCAACTCATAGAGTTGAAGATTCCCTTTCATAGAGCAGGTTTGAAACACTCTTTCTGGAGTATCTGGATGTGGACATTTGGAGCGCTTTGATGCCTATGGTGAAAAAGTAAATATCTTCCCAGAAAAACGAGACAGAAGGATTCTCTGAAACAAGTTTGTGATGTGTGTACTCAGCTAACTGAGTGGAACCTTTCTTTTTACAGAGCAGCTTTGAAACTCTATTTTTGTGGATTCTGCAAATTGATATTTAGATTGCTTTAACGATATCGTTGGAAAAGGGAATATCGTCATACAAAATCTGGACAGAAGCATTCTCACAAACTTCTTTGTGATGTGTGTCCTCAACTAACAGAGTTGAACCTTTCTTTTGATGCAGCAGTTTGGAAACACTCTTTTTGTAGAAACTGTAAGTGGATATTTGGATAGCTCTAACGATTTCGCTGGAAACGGGAATATCGTCATCTAAAATCTAGACAGAAGCACTATTACAAACTACTTGGTGATATCTGCATTCAAGTCACAGAGTTGAACATTCCCTTACTTTGAGCACGTTTGAAACACTCTTTTGGAAGAATCTGGAAGTGGACATTTGGAGCGCTTTGATACCTTTGTTGAAAAGGAAACGTCTTCCAATAAAAGCCAGACAGAAGCATTCTCAGAAACTTGTTTGTGATGTGTGTACTCAACTAAAAGAGTTGAACCTTTCTATTGATAGAGCAGTTTTGAAACACTCTTTTTGTGGATTCTGCAAGTGGATATTTGGATTGCTTTGAGGATTTCGTTGGAAGCGGGAATTCGTATAAAAACTAGACAGCAGCATTCCCAGAAATTTCTTTCGGATATTTCCATTCGACTCATAGACATGAACATGGCCTTTCATAGAGCAGGTTTGAAACACTCTTTTTGTAGTTTGTGGAAGTGGACATTTCGATCGCCTTGACGCCTACGGTGAAAAAGGAAATATCTTCCCATAAAAAATAGACAGAAGCATTCTCAGAAACTTGTTGGTGATATGTGTCCTCAACTAACAGAGTTGAACTTTGCCATTGATAGAGAGCAGTTTTGAAACACTCTTTTTGTGGAATCTGCAAGTGGATATTTGGATAGCTTGGAGGATTTCGTTGGAAGCGGGAATTCAAATAAAAGGTAGACAGCAGCATTCTCAGAAATTTCTTTCTGATGTCTGCATTCAACTCATAGAGTTGAACATTCCCTTTCATAGAGCAGGTTTGAAACACTCTTTCTGGAGTATCTGGATGTGGACATTTGGAGCGCTTTGATGCCTACGGTGAGAAAGTAAATATCTTCCCATAAAAACGAGACAGAAGGATTCTGAGAAACAAGTTTGTGATGTGTGTACTCAGCTAACAGAGTGGAACCTCTCTTTTTGATGCAGCAGTTTGGAAACACTCTTTTTGTAGAAACTGTAAGTGGATATTTGGATAGCTCTAATGATTTCGTTGGAAACGGGAATATCATCATCTAAAATCTAGACAGAAGCCCTCTCAGAAACTACTTTGTGATATCTGCATTCAAGTCACAGAGTTGAACATTCGCTTTCTTAGAGCACGTTGGAAACACTCTTTTTGTAGTGTCTGGAAGTGGACATTTGGAGCGCTTTGATGCCTTTGGTGAAAAAGGGAATGTGTTCCCATAAAAACTAGACAGAAGCATTCCCAGAAACTTGTTTGTGATGTGTGTACCCAGCTAAAGGAGTTGAATTTTGCATTGATAGAGAGCAGTTTTGAAACCCTCTTTTTGTGGAAAATGCAAGTGGATATTTGTATAGCTTGGAGGATTTCGTTGGAAGCGGGAATTCAAATAAAAGGTAGACAGCAGCATTCTCAGAAATTTCTTTCTGATGTCTGCATTCAACTCATAGAGTTGAAGATTCCCTTTCATAGAGCAGGTTTGAAACAGTCTTTCTGGAGTATCTGGATGTGGACATTTGGAGCGCTTTGATGCCTACGGTGAAAAAGTAAATATCTTCCCATAAAAACGAGACAGAAGGATTCTCAGAAACAAGTTTGTGATGTGTGTACTCAGCTAACAGAGTGGAACCTTTCTTTTTACAGAGCAGCTTTGAAACTCTATTTTTCTGGATTCTGCAAATTGATATTTAGATTGCTTTAACGATATCGTTGGAAAAGGGAATATCGTCATACAAAATCTAGACAGAAGCATTCTCACAAACTTCTTTGTGGTGTGTGTCCTCAACTAACAGAGTTGAACCTTTTTTTTGATGCAGCAATTTGGAAACACCCTTTTTGTAGAAACTGTAACTGGATATTTGCTTAGCTCTAACGATTTCGTTGGAAACGGGAATATCATCATCTAAAATCTAGACAGAAGCACTATTAGAAACTACTTGGTGATATCTGCATTCAAGTCACAGAGTTGAACATTCCCTTACTTTGAGCACGTTTGAAACACTCTTTTGGAAGAATCTGGAAGTGGACATTTGGAGCGCTTTGATGCCTTTGGTGAAAAGGAAACGTCTTCCAATAAAAGCCAGACAGAAGCATTCTCAGAAACTTGTTTGTGATGTGTGTACTCAACTAAAAGAGTTGAACCTTTCTATTGATAGAGCAGTTTTGAAACACTCTTTTTGTGGATTCTGCAAGTGGATATTTGGATTGCTTTGAGGATTTCGTTGGAAGCGGGAATTCGTATAAACACTAGACAGCAGCATTCCCAGAATTTTCTTTCGGATATTTCCATTCAACTCATAGAGATGAACATGGCCTTTCATAGAGCAGGTTTGAAACACTCTTTTTGTAGTTTGTGGAAGTGGACATTTCGATCGCCTTGACGCCTACGGTGAAAAAGGAAATATCTTCCCATAAAAAATAGACAGAAGCATTCTCAGAAACTTGTTTGTGATGTGTGTACCTAGCTAAAGGAGTTGAACATTTCTATTGATAGAGCAGTTTTGAAACACTCTTTTTGTGGAAAATGCAGGTGGATATTTGGATAGGTTGGAAGATTTCGTTGGAAGCGGGAATTCAAATAAAAGGTAGACAGCAGCATTCTCAGAAATTTCTTTCTGATGTCTGCATTCAACTCATAGAGTTGAAGATTCCCTTTCGTAGAGCAGGTTTGAAACACTCTTTCTGGAGTATCTGGATGTGGACATTTGGAGCGCTTTGATGCCTACGGTGAAAAAGTAAATATCTTCCCATAAAAACGAGACAGAAGGATTGTGAGAAACAAGTTTGTGATGTGTGTACTCAGCTAACAGAGTGGAACCTCTCTTTTGATGCAGCAGTTTGGAAACTCTCTTTTTGTAGAAACTGTAAGTGGATATTTGGATAGCTCTAATGATTTCGTTGGAAACGGGAATATCATCATCTAAAATCTAGACAGAAGCCCTCTCAGAAACTACTTTGTGATATCTGCATTCAAGTCACAGAGTTGAACATTCTGCTTTCTTAGAGCACGTTTGAAACACTCTTTTTGTAGTGTCTGGAAGTGGACATTTGGAGCGCTTTGATGTCTTTGGTGAAAAAGGGAATGTCTTCCCATAAAAACTAGACAGAAGCATTCTCAGAAACTTGTTTGTGATGTGTGTACCCAGCCAAAGGAGTTGAACATTTCTATTGATAGAGCAGTTTTGAAACACTCTTGTTGTGGAAAATGCAAGTGGATATTTGGATAGCTTGGAGGATTTCGTTGGAAGCCGGAATTCAAATAAAAGGTAGACAGCCAGCATTCTCAGAAATTTCTTTCTGATGTCTGCATTCAACTCATAGAGTTGAAGATTCCCTTTCATTGAGCAGGTTTGAAACAGTCTTTCTGGAGTATCTGGATGTGGACATTTGGAGCGCTTTGATGCCTACGGTGAAAAAGTAAATATCTTCCCATAAAAACGAGACAGAGGAATCTCAGAAACAAGTTTGTGATGTGTGTACTCAGCTAACAGAGTGGAACCTTTCTTTTTACAGAGCAGCTTTGAAACTCTATTTTTGTGGATTCTGCAAATGGATATTTAGATTGCTTTAACGATATCGTTGGAAAAGGGAATATCATCATACAAAATCTGGACAGAAGCATTCTGACAAACTTCTTTGTGATGTGTGTCCTCAACTAACAGAGTTGAACCTTTCTTTTGATGCAGCAGTTTGGAAACACCCTTTTGGTAGAAACTGTAAGTGGATATTTGGATAGCTCTAACGATTTCGTTGGAAACGGGAATATCATCATCTAAAATCTAGACAGAAGCACTACTAGAAACTACTTGGTGATATCTGCATTCAAGTCACAGAGTTGAACATTCCCTTACTTTGAGCACGTTTCAAACACTCTTTTGGAAGAATCTGGAAGTGGACATTTGGAGCGCTTTGATGCCTTTGGTGAAAAGGAAACGTCTTCCAATAAAAGCCAGACAGAAGCATTCTCAGAAACTTGTTTGTGATGTGTGTACTCAACTAAAAGAGTTGAACCTTTCTATTGATAGAGCAGTTTTGAAACACTCTTTTTGTGGATTCTGCAAGTGGATATTTGGATTGCTTTGAGGATTTCGTTGGAAGCGGGAATTCGTATAAAAACTAGACAGCAGCATTCCCAGAAATTTCTTTCGGATATTTCCATTCGACTCATAGAGATGAACATGGCCTTTCATAGAGCAGGTTTGAAACACTCTTTTTGTAGTTTGTGGAAGTGGACATTTCGATCGCCTTGACCGCCCACGGTGAAAAAGGAAATATCTTCCCATAAAAAATAGACAGAAGCATTCTCAGAAACTTGTTGGTGATATGTGTCCTCAACTAACAGAGTTGAACTTTGCCATTGATAGAGAGCAGTTTTGAAACACTCTTTTTCCTGAATCTGCAAGTGGATATTTGGATAGTTTGGAGGATTTAGTTGGAAGCGGGAATTCAAATAAAAGGTAGACAGCAGCATTCTCAGAAATTTCTTTCTGATGTCTGCATTCAACTCATAGAGTTGAAGATTCCCTTTCATAGAGCAGGTTTGAAACACTCTTTCTGGAGTATCTGGATGTGGACATTTGGAGCGCTTTGATGCCTACGGTGAAAAAGTAAATATCTTCCCAGAAAAACGAGACAGAAGGATTCTCAGAAACAAGTTTGTGATGTGTGTACTCAGCTAACAGAGTGGAACCTTTCTTTTTACAGAGCAGCTTTGAAAGTCTATTTTTGTGGATTCTGCAAATTGATATTTAGATTGCTTTAACGATATCGTTGGAAAAGGGAATATCGTCATACAAAATCTAGACAGAAGCATTCTCACAAACTTCTTTGTGATGTGTGTCCTCAACTAACAGACTTGAACCTTTCTTTTGATGCAGCAGTTTGGAAACACCCTTTTGGTAGAAACTGTAACTGGATATTTGGATAGCTCTAACGATTTCGTTGGAAACGGGAATATCATCATCTAAAATCTAGACAGAAGCACTATTAGAAACTACTTGTGATATCTGCATGCAAGTCACAGAGTTGAACATTCCCTTACTTTGAGCACGTTTGAAACACTCTTTTGTAAGAATCTGGAAGTGGACGTTTGGAGCTCTTTGATGCCTTTGGTGAAAAGGAAACATCTTCCAATAAAAGCCAGAAAGAAGCATTCTCAGAAACTTCTTTGTGATGTGTGTACTCAACTAAAAGTGTTGAACCTTTCTATTGATAGAGCAGTTTTGCAACACTCTTTTTGTGGATTCTGCAAGTGGATATTTGGATTGCTTTGAGGATTTCGTTGGAAGCGGGAATTCGTATAAAAACTAGACAGCAGCATTTTCAGAAATTTCTTTCGGATATTTCCATTCAACTCATAGAGATGAACATGGCCTTTCATAGAGCAGGTTTGAAACACTCTTTTTGTAGTTTGTGGAAGTGGACATTTTGATCGCCTTGACGCCTATGGTGAAAAAGGGAATATCTTCCCATAAAAAATAGACAGAAGCATTCTCAGAAACTTGTTGGTGATATGTGTCCTCAACTAACAGAGTTGAACTTTGCCATTGATAGAGAGCAGTTTTGAAACACTCTTTTTGTGGAATCTGCAAGTGGATATTTGGATAGCTTGGAGGATTTCGTTGGAAGCGGGAATTCAAATAAAAGGTAGACAGCAGCATTCTCAGAAATTTCTTTCTGATGTCTGCATTCAACTCATAGAGTTGAACATTCCCTTTCATAGAGCAGGTTTGAAACACTCTTTCTGTAGTATCTGGATGTGGACATTTGGAGCGCTTTGATGCCTACGGTGAAAAAGTATAATCTTCCCATAAAAACGAGACAGAAGGATTCTCAGAAACAAGTTTGTGATGTGTGTACTCAGCTAACAGAGTGGAACCTCTCTTTTGATGCAGCAGTTTGGAAACACTCTTTTTGTAGAAACTGTAAGTGGATATTTGGATAGCTCTAATGATTTCGTTGGAAACGGGAATATCATCATGTAAAATCTAGACAGAAGCACTCTCAGAAACTACTTTGTGATATCTGCTTTCAAGTCACAGAGTTGAACATTCGTTTTCTTAGAGCACTTTTGAAACACTCTTTTTGTAGTATCTGGAAGTGGACATTTGGAGCTCTTTGATGCCTTTGGTGAAAAAGGAAATGTCTTCCCATAAAAACTAGACAGAATCATTCTCAGAAACTTGTTTGTGATGTGTGTACCCAGCCAAAGGAGTTGAACATTTCTATTGATAGAGCAGTTTTGAAACACTCTTTTTGTGGAAAATGCAAGTGGATATTTGGATAGCTTGGAGGATTTCGTTGGAAGCGGGAATTCAAATAAAAGGTAGACAGCAGGATTCTCAGAAACAAGTTTGTGATGTGTGTACTCAGCTAACAGAGTGGAACCTTTCTTTTTACAGAGCAGCTTTGTAACTCTATTTTTGTGGATTCTGCAAATTGATATTTAGATTGCTTTAACGATATCGTTGGAAAAGGGAATATCGTCATACAAAATCTAGACAGAAGCATTCTCGCAAACTTCTTTGTGATGTGTGTCCTCAACTAACAGAGTTGAACCTTTCTTTTGATGCAGCAATTTGGAAACACCCTTTTGGTAGAAACTGTAACTGGATATTTGGATAGCTCTAACGATTTCGTTGGAAACGGGAATATCATCATCTAAAATGTAGACAGAAGCACTATTAGAAACTACTTGGTGATATCTGCATTCAAGTCACAGAGTAGAACATTCCCTTACTTCGAGCACGTTTGAAACACTCTTTTGGAAGAATCTGGAAGTGGACATTTGGAGCGCTTTGATGCCTTTGGTGAAAAGGAAACGTCTTCCAATAAAAGCCAGACAGAAGCATTCTCAGAAACTTGGTTGTGATGTGTGTACTCAACTAAAAGAGTTGAACCTTTCTATTGATAGAGCAGTTTTGAAACACTCTTTTTGTGGATTCTGCAAGTGGATATTTGGATTGCTTTGAGGATTTCGTTGGAAGCGGGAATTCATATAAAAACTAGACAGCAGCATTCCCAGAAATTTCTTTCGGATATTTCCATTCAACTCATAGAGATGAACATCGCCTTTCATAGAGCAGGTTTGAAACACTCTTTTTGTAGTTTGTGGAAGTGGACATTTCGATCGCCTTGACGCCTACGGTGAAAAAGGAAATATCTTCCCATAAAAAATAGACAGAAGCATTCTCAGAAACTTGTTGGTGATATGTGTCCTCAACTAACAGAGTTGAACTTTGCCATTGATAGAGAGCAGTTTTGAAACACTCTTTTTGTGGAATCTGCAAGTGGATATTTGGATAGCTTGGAGGATTTCGTTGGAAGCGGGAATTCAAATAAAAGGTAGACAGCAGCATTCTCAGAAATTTCTTTCTGATGTCTGCATTCAACTCATAGAGTTGAAGATTCCCTTTCATAGAGCAGGTTTGAAACACTCTTTCTGGAGTATCTGGATGTGGACATTTGGAGCGCTTTGATGCCTACGGTGAAAAAGTAAATATCTTCCCATAAAAACGCGACAGAAGGATTCTCAGAAACAACTTTGTGATGTGTGTACTCAGCTAACAGAGTGGAACCTCTCTTTTGATGCAGCAGTTTGGAAACACTCTTTTTGTAGAAACTGTAAGTGGATATTTGGATAGCTCTAATGATTTCGTTGGAAACGGGAATATCATCATCTAAAATCTAGACAGAAGCCCTCTCAGAAACTACGTTGTGATATCTGCATTCAAGTCACAGAGTTGAATATTCGCTTTCTTAGAGCACGTTTGAAACACTCTTTTTGTAGTGTCTGGAAGTGGACATTTGGAGCGCTTTGATGCCTTTGGTGAAAAAGGGAATGTCTTCCCATAAAAACTAGACAGAAGCATTCTCAGAAACTTGTTTGTGATGTGTGTACCCAGCTAAAGGAGTTGAACATTTCTATTGATAGAGCAGTTTTGAAACACTCTTTTTGTGGAAAATGCAAGTGGATATTTGGATAGCTTGGAGGATTTCGTTGGAAGCAGGAATTCAAATAAAAGGTAGACAGCAGCATTCTCAGAAATTTCTTTCTGATGTCTGCATTCAACTCATAGAGTTGAAGATTCCCTTTCCTAGAGCAGGTTTGAAACACTCTTTCTGGAGTATCTGGATGTGGACATTTGGAGCGCTTTGATGCCTACGGTGAAAAAGTAAATATCTTCCCATAAAAACGAGACAGAAGGATTCTGAGAGACAAGTTTGTGATGTGTGTACTCCAGCTAACAGAGTGGAACCTTTCTTTTTACAGAGCAGCTTTGAAACTCTATTTTTGTGGATTCTGCAAATGGATATTTAGATTGCTTTAACGATATCGTTGGAAAAGGGAATATCGTCATACAAAATCTGGACAGAAGCATTCTCACAAACTTCTTTGTGATGTGTGTCCTCAACTAACAGAGTTGAACCTTTCTTTTGATGCAGCAGTTTGGAAACACTGTTTTTGTAGCAACTGTAAGGGGATATTTGGATAGCTCTAACGATTTCGTTGGAAACGGGAATATCATCATCTAAAATCTAGACAGAAGCACTATTAGCAAACTACTTGGTGATATCTGCATTCAAGTCACAGAGTTGAACATTCCCTTACTTTGAGCACGTTTCAAACACTCTTTTGGAAGAATCTGGAAGTGGACATTTGGAGCGCTTTGATGCCTTTGGTGAAAAGGAAACGTCTTCCAATAAAAGCCAGACAGAAGCATTCTCAGAAACTTGTTTGTGATGTGTGTACTCAACTAAAAGAGTTGAACCTTTCTATTGATAGAGCAGTTTTGAAACACTCTTTTTGTGGATTCTGCAAGTGGATATTTGGATTGCTTTGAGGATTTCGTTGGAAGCGGGAATTCGTATAAAAACTAGACAGCCAGCATTCCCAGGAAATTTCTTTCGGATATTTCCATTCAACTCATAGAGATGAACATGGCCTTTCATAGAGCAGGTTTGAAACACTCTTTTTGTAGTTTGTGGAAGTGGACATTTCGATCGCCTTGACGCCTACGGTGAAAAAGGAAATATCTTCCCATAAAAAATAGACAGAAGCATTCTCAGAAACTTGTTGGTGATATGTGTCCTCAACTAACAGAGTTGAACTTTGCCATTGATAGAGAGCAGTTTTGAAACACTCTTTTTGTGGAATCTGCAAGTGGATATTTGGATAGCTTGGAGGATTTCGTTGGAAGCGGGAATTCAAATAAAAGGTAGACAGCAGCATTCTCAGAAATTACTTTCTGATGTCTGCATTCAACTCATAGAGTTGAAGATTCCCTTTCATAGAGCAGGTTTGAAACACTCTTTCTGGAGTATCTGGATGTGGACATTTGGAGCGCTTTGATGCCTACGGTGAAAAAGTAAATATCTTCCCATAAAAACGAGACAGAAGCATTCTCACAAACTTCTTTGTGATGTGTGTCCTCAACTAACAGAGTTGAACTTTTCTTTTGATGCAGCAGTTTGGAAACACTCTTTTTGTAGAAACTGTAAGTGGATATTTGGATAGCTCTAATGATTTCGTTGGAAACGGGAATATCATCATCTAAAATCTAGACAGAAGCCCTCTCAGAAACTACTTTGTGATATCTGCATTCAAGTCACAGAGTTGAACATTCGCTTTCTTAGAGCACGTTGGAAACACTCTTTTTGTAGTGTCTGGAAGTGGACATTTGGAGCGCTTTGATGCCTTTGGTGAAAAAGGGAATATCTTCCCATAAAAACTAGACAGAAGCATTCTCAGAAACTTGTTTGTGATGTGTGTACCCAGCCAAAGGAGTTGAACATTTCTATTAATAGAGCAGTTTTGAAACGCTCTTTTTGTGGAAAATGCAGGTGGATATTTGGATAGCTTGGAGGATTTCGTTGGAAGCGGGAATTCAAATAAAAGGTAGACAGCCAGCATTCTCAGAAAATTTCCTTCTGATGTCTGCATTCAACTCATAGAGTTGAAGACTCCCTTTCATAGAGCAGGTTTGAAACACTCTTTCTGGAGTATCTGGATGTGGACATTTGGAGCGCTTTGATGCCTACGGTGAAAAAGTAAATATCTTCCCATAAAAACGAGACAGAGGATTCTGAGAAACAAGTTTGTGATGTGTGTACTCAGCTAACAGAGTGGAACCTTTCTTTTTACAGAGCAGCTTTGAAACTCTATTTTTGTGGATTCTGCAAATGGATATTTAGATTGCTTTAATGATATCGCTGGAAAAGGGAATATGGTCATACAAAATCTAGACAGGAAGCATTCTCACAAACTTCTTTGTGATGTGTGTCCTCAACTAACAGAGTTGAACTTTTCTTTTGATGCAGCAGTTTGGAAACACTCTTTTTATAGAAACTGTAAGTGGATATTTGGATAGCTCTAACGATTTCGTTGGAAACGGGAATATCATCATCTAAAATCTAGACAGAAGCACTATTAGAAACTACTTGGTGATATCTGCATTCAAGTCAAAGAGTTGAACATTCCCTTACTTTGAGCACGTTTGAAACACTCTTTTGGAAGAATCTGGAAGTGGACATTTGGAGCGCTTTGATGCCTTTGGTGAAAAGGAAACGTCTTCTAATAAAAGCCAGACAGAAGCATTCTCAGAAACTTGTTTGTGATGTGTGTACTCAACTAAAAGAGTTGAACCTTTCTATTGATAGAGCAGTTTTGAAACACTCTTTTTGTGGATTCTGCAAGTGGATATTTGGATTGCTTTGAGGATTTCGTTGGAAGCGGGAATTCGTATAAAAACTAGACAGCAGCATTCCCAGAAATTTCTTTCGGATATTTCCATTCGACTCATAGAGATGAACATGGCCTTTCGTAGAGCAGGTTTGAAACACTCTTTTTGTAGTTTGTGGAAGTGGACATTTCGATCGCCTTGACGCCTACGGTGAAAAAGGAAATATCTTCCCATAAAAAATAGACAGAAGCATTCTCAGAAACTTGTTGGTGATATGTGTCCTCAACTAACAGAGTTGAACTTTGCCATTGATAGAGAGCAGTTTTGAAACACTCTTTTTGTGGAATCTGCAAGTGGATATTTGGATAGCTTGGAGGATTTCGTTGGAAGCGGGAATTCAAATAAAAGGTAGACAGCAGGATTCTCAGAAACAAGTTTGTGATGTGTGTACTCAGCTAACAGAGTGGAACCTCTCTTTTTACAGAGCAGCTTTGAAACTCTATTTTTGTGGATTCTGCAAATTGATATTTAGATTGCTTTAACGATATCGTTGGAAAAGGGAATATCGTCATACAAAATCTAGACAGAAAGCATTCTCACAAACTTCTTTGTGATGTGTGTCCTCAACTAACAGAGTTGAACCTTTCTTTTGATGCAGCAGTTTGGAAACACTCTTTTTGTAGCAACTGTAAGTGGATATTTGGATAGCTCTAACGATTTCGTTGGAAACGGGAATATCATCATCTAAAATCTAGACAGAAGCACTATTAGAAACTACTTGGTGATATCTGCATTCAAGTCACAGAGTTGAACATTCCCTTACTTTGAGCACGTTTCAAACACTCTTTTGGAAGAATCTGGAAGTGGACATTTGGAGCGCTTTGATGCCTTTGGTGAAAAGGAAACGTCTTCCAATAAAAGCCAGACAGAAGCATTCTCAGAAACTTGTTTGTGATGTGTGTACTCAACTAAAAGAGTTGAACCTTTCTATTGATAGAGCAGTTTTGAAACACTCTTTTTGTGGATTCTGCAAGTGGATATTTGGATTGCTTTGAGGATTTCGTTGGAAGCGGGAATTCGTATAAAAACTAGACAGCAGCATTCCCAGAAATTTCTTTCGGATATTTCCATTCGACTCATAGAGATGAACATGGCCTTTCATAGAGCAGGTTTGAAACACTCTTTTTGTAGTTTGTGGAAGTGGACATTTCGATCGCCTTGACGCCTACGGTGAAAAAGGAAATATCTTCCCATAAAAAATAGACAGAAGCATTCCCAGAAATTTCTTTCGGATATTTCCATTCGACTCATAGAGATGAACATGGCCTTTCATAGAGCAGGTTTGAAACACTCTTTTTGTAGTTTGTGGAAGTGGACATTTCGATCGCCTTGACGCCTACGGTGAAAAAGGAAATATCTTCCCATAAACTAACAGAGCATTCTCAGAAATTTCTTTCTGATGTCTCCATTCAACTCATAGAGTTGAAGATTCCCTTTCATAGAGCAGGTTTGAAACACTCTTTCTGGAGTATCTGGATGTGGACATTTGGAGCGCTTTGATGCCTACGGTGAAAAAGTAAATATCTTCCCATAAAAACGAGACAGAAGGATTCTCAGAAACAAGTTTGTGATGTGTGTACTCAGCTAACAGAGTGGAACCTTTCTTTTTACAGAGCAGCTTTCAAACTCTATTTTTGTGGATTCTGCAAATTGATATTTAGATTGCTTTAACGATATCGTTGGAAAAGGGAATATTGTCATACAAACTCTGGACAGAAGCATTCTCACAAAACTTCTTTGTGATGTGTGTCCTCAACTAACAGAGTTGAACCTTTCTTTTGATGCAGCAGTTTGGAAACACTCTTTTTGTAGAAACTGTAAGTGGATATTTGGATAGCTCTAACGATTTCGTTGGAAACGGGAATATCATCATCTAAAATCTAGACAGAAGCACTATTAGAAACTACTTGGTGATATCTGCATTCAAGTCACAGAGTTGAACATTCCCTTACTTTGAGCACGTTTCAAACACTCTTTTGGAAGAATCTGGAAGTGGACATTTGGAGCGCTTTGATGCCTTTGGTGAAAAGGAAACGTCTTCCAATAAAAGCCAGACAGAAGCATTCTCAGAAACTTGTTTGTGATGTGTGTACTCAACTAAAAGAGTTGAACCTTTCTATTGATAGAGCAGTTTTGAAACACTCTTTTTGTGGATTCTGCAAGTGGATATTTGGATTGCTTTGAGGATTTCGTTGGAAGCGGGAATTCGTATAAAAACTAGACAGCAGCATTCCCAGAAATTTCTTTCGGATATTTCCATTCAACTCATAGAGATGAACATGGCCTTTCATATTGAAACACTCTTTTTGTAGTTTGTGGAAGTGGACATTTCGATCGCCTTGACGCCTGTGGTGAAAAAGGAAATATCTTCCCATAAAAAATAGACAGAAGCATTCTCAGAAACTTGTTGGTGATATGTGTCCTCAACTAACAGAGTTGAACTTTGCCATTGATAGAGAGCAGTTTTGAAACACTCTTTTTGTGGAATCTGCAAGTGGATATTTGGATAGCTTGGAGGATTTCGTTGGAAGCGGGAATTCAAATAAAAGGTAGACAGCAGCATTCTCAGGAAATTTCTTTCTGATGTCTGCATTCAACTCATAGAGTTGAAGATTCCCTTTCATAGAGCAGGTTTGAAACACTCTTTCTGGAGTATCTGGATGTGGACATTTGGAGCGCTTTGATGCCTACGGTGGAAAAGTAAATATCTTCCCATAAAAACGAGACAGAAGGATTCTGAGAAACAAGTTTGTGATGTGTGTACTCGGCTAACAGAGTGGAACCTCTCTTTTGATGCAGCAGTTTGGAAACACTCTTTTTATAGAAACTGTAAGTGGATATTTGGATAGCTCTAATGATTTCGTTGGAAACGGGAATATCATCATCTAAAATCTAGACAGAAGCCCTCTCAGAAACTACTTTGTGATATCTGCATTCAAGTCACAGAGTTTAACATTCGCTTTCTTAGAGCACGTTTGAAACACTCTTTTTGTAGTGTCTGGAAGTGGACATTTGGAGCGCTTTGATGCCTTTGGTGAAAAAGGGAATGTCTTCCCATAAAAACTAGACAGAAGCATTCTCAGAAACTTGTTTGTGATGTGTGTACCCAGCCAAAGGAGTTGAACATTTCTATTGATAGAGCAGTTTTGAAACACTCTTTTTGTGGAAAATGCAGGTGGATATTTGGATAGCTTGGAGGATTTCGTTGGAAGCAGGAATTCAAATAAAAGGTAGACAGCAGCATTCTCAGAAATTTCTTTCTGATGTCTGCATTCAACTCATAGAGTTGAAGATTCCCTTTCATAGAGCAGGTTTGAAACACTCGTTCTGGAGTATCTGGATGTGGACATTTGGAGCGCTTTGATGCCTACGGTGGAAAATTATATATCTTCCCATAAAAACGAGACAGAAGGATTCTCAGAAACAAGTTTGTGATGTGTGTACTCAGCTAACAGAGTGGATCCTTTCTTTTTACAGAGCAGCTTTGAAATTCTATTTCTGTGGATTCTGCAAATTGATATTTGGGTTGATTTAACGACATCGTTGGAAAAGGGAATATCTTCATACAAAATCTAGACAGAAGTATTCTCACAAACTTCTTTGTGATGTGTGTCCTCAACTAACAGAGTTGAACCTTTCTTTTGATGCAGCAGTTTGGAAACACCCTTTTGGTAGAAACTGTAAGTGGATATTTGGATAGCTCTAACGATTTCGTTGGAAACGGGAATATCATCATCTAAAATCTAGACAGAAGCACTATTAGAAACTACTTGGTGATATCTGCATTCAAGTCACAGAGTTGAACATTCCCTTACTTCGAGCACGTTTGAAACACTCTTTTGGAAGTATCTGGAAGTGGACATTTGGAGCGCTTTGATGCCTTTGGTGAAAAGGAAACGTCTTCCAATAAAAGCCAGACAGAAGCATTCTCAGAAACTTGTTCGTGATGTGTGTACTCAACTAAAAGAGTTGAACCTTTCTATTGATAGAGCAGTTTTGAAACACTCTTTTTGTGGATTCTGCAAGTGGATATTTGGATTGCTTTGAGGATTTCTTTGGAAGCGGGAATTCGTATAAACACTAGACAGCAGCATTCCCAGAAATTTCTTTCGGATATTTCCATTCAACTCATAGAGATGAACATGGCCTTTCATAGAGCAGGTTTGAAACACTCTTTTTGTAGTTTGTGGAAGTGGACATTTCGATCGCCTTGACGCCTACGGTGAAAAAGGAAATATCTTCCCATAAAAAATAGACAGAAGCATTCTCAGAAACTTGTTGGTGATATGTGTCCTCAACTAACAGAGTTGAACTTTGCCATTGATAGAGAGCAGTTTTGAAACACTCTTTTTGTGGAATCTGCAAGTGGATATTTGGATAGCTTGGAGGATTTCGTTGGAAGCGGGAATTCAAATAAAAGGTAGACAGCAGCATTCTCAGAAATTTCTTTCTGATGTCTGCATTCAACTCATAGAGTTGAAGATTCCCTTTCATAGAGCAGGTTTGAAACACTCTTTCTGGAGTATCTGGATGTGGACATTTGGAGCGCTTTGATGCCTACGATGAAAAAGTAAATATCTTCCCAGAAAAACGAGACAGAAGGATTCTGAGAAACAAGTTTGTGATGTGTGTACTCAGATAACAGAGTGGAACCTCTCTTTTGATGCAGCAGTTTGGAAACACTCTTTTTGCAGAAACTGTAAGTGGATATTTGGATAGCTCTAATGATTTCGTTGGAAACGGGAATATCATCATCTAAAATCTAGACAGAAGCACTCTCAGAAACTACTTTGTGATATCTGCATTCAAGTCACAGAGTTGAACATTCGCTTTCTTAGAGCACGTTTGAAACACTCTTTTTGTAGTGTCTGGAAGTGGACATTTGGAGCGCTTTGATGGCTTTGGTGAAAAAGGGAACGTCTTCCCATAAAAACTAGACAGAAGCATTCTCAGAAACTTGTTTGTGATGTGTGTACCCAGCCAAAGGAGTTGAACGTTTCTATTGATAGAGCAGTTTTGAAACACTCTTGTTGTGGAAAATGCAAGTGGATATTTGGATAGTTTGGAGGATTTCGTTGGAAGCGGGAATTCAAATAAAAGGTAGACAGCAGCATTCTCAGAAATTTCTTTCTGATGTCTGCATTCAACTCATAGAGTTGAAGATTCCCTTTCATAGAGTAGGTTTGAAACACTCGTTCTGGAGTATCTGGATGTGGACATTTGGAGAGCTTTGATGCCTACGGTGAAAAAGTAAATATCTTCCCATAAAAACGAGACAGAAAGGATTCTGAGAAACAAGTTTGTGATGTGTGTACTCAGCTAACAGAGTGGAACCTTTCTTTTTACAGAGCAGCTTTGAAACTCTATTTTTGTGGATTCTGCAAATGGATATTTAGATTGCTTTAACGATATCGTTGGAAAAGGGAATATCGTCATACAAAATCTAGACAGAGCATTCTCACAAACTTCTTTGTGATGTGTGTCCTCAACTAACAGAGTTGAACCTTTCTTTTGATGCAGCAATTTGGAAACACCCTTTTGGTAGAAACTGTAACTGGATATTTGCTTAGCTCTAACGATTCCGTTGGAAACGGGAATATCATCATCTAAAATCTAGACAGAAGCACTATTAGAAACTACTTGGTGATATCTGCATTCAAGTGACAGAGTTGAACATTCCCTTACTTTGAGCACGTTTGAAACACTCTTTTGGAAGAATCTGGAAGTGGACATTTGGAGCGCTTTGATGCCTTTGTTGAAAAGGAAACGTCTTCCAATAAAAGCCAGACAGAAGCATTCTCAGAAACTTGTTCGTGAAGTGTGTACTCAACTAAAAGAGTTGAACCTTTCTATTGATAGAGCAGTTTTGAAACACTCTTTTTGTGGATTCTGCAAGTGGATATTTGGATTGCTTTGAGGATTTCGTTGGAAGCGGGAATTCGTATAAACACTAGACAGCAGCATTCCCAGATATTTCTTTCGGATATTTCCATTCAACTCATAGAGATGAACATGGCCTTTCATAGAGCAGGTTTGAAACACTCTTTTTGTAGTTTGTGGCAGTGGACATTTCGATCTCCTTGACGCCTACGGTGAAAAAGGAAATATCTTCCCATAAAAAATAGACAGAAGCATTCTCAGAAACTTGTTGGTGATATGTGTCCTCAACTAACAGAGTTGAACTTTGCCATTGATAGAGAGCAGTTTTGAAACACTCTTTTTGTGGAATCTGCAAGTGGATATTTGGATAGCTTGGAGGATTTCGTTGGAAGCGGGAATTCAAATAAAAGGTAGACAGCAGCATTCTCAGAAATTTCTTTCTGATGTCTGCATTCAACTCATAGAGTTGAAGATTCCCTTTCATAGAGCAGGTTTGAAACACTCGTTCTGGAGTATCTGGATGTGGACATTTGGAGCGCTTTGATGCCTACGGTGCAAAAGTAAATATCTTCCCATAAAAACGAGACAGAAGGATTCTGAGAAACAAGTTTGTGATGTGTGTACTCAGCTAACAGAGTGGAACCTCTCTTTTGATGCAGCAGTTTGGAAACACTCTTTTTGTAGAAAGTGTAAGTGGATATTTGGATAGCTCTAATGATTTCGTTGGAAACGGGAATATCATCATCTAAAATCTAGACAGAAGCACTCTCAGAAACTACTTTGTGATATCTGCATTCAAGTCACAGAGTTGAACATTCGCTTTCTTAGAGCACGTTTGAAACACTCTTTTTGTAGTCTCTGGAAGTGGACATTTGGAGCGCTTTGATGCCTTTGGTGAAAAAGGGAATGTCTTCCCATAAAAACTAGACAGAAGCATTCTCAGAAACTTGTTTGTGATGTGTGTACCCAGCCAAAGGAGTTGAACATTTCTATTGATAGAGCAGTTTTGAAACACTCTTGTTGTGGAAAATGCAAGTGGATATTTTGATAGCTTGGAGGATTTCGTTGGAAGCGGGAATTCAAATAAAAGGTAGACAGCAGCATTCTCAGAAATTACTTTCTGATGTCTGCATTCAACTCATAGAGTTGAAGATTCCCTTTCATAGAGCAGGTTTGAAACACTCTTTCTGTAGTATCTGGATGTGGACTTTTGGAGCGCTTTGATACCTACGGTGAAAAAGTAAATATCTTCCCATAAAAAGTAGACAGAAGGATATTCAGAAACAAGTTTGTGATATGTGTACTCAGCTAACAGAGTGTATCCTTTCTTTTTACAGAGCAGCTTTGAGACTCTATTTCTGTGGATTCTGCAAATTGATATTTGGGTTGATTTAACGATATCGTTGGAAAAGGGAATATCTTCATACAAAATCTAGACAGATAAGCATTCTCACAAACTTCTTTGTGATGTGTGTCCTCAACTAACAGAGTTGAACCTTTCTTTTGATGCAGCAATTTGGAAGCACCCTTTTGGTAGAAACTGTAACTGGATATTTGGATAGCTCTAACGATTTCGTTGGAAACGGGAATATCATCATCTAAAATGTAGACAGAAGCACTATTAGAAACTACTTGGTGATATTTGCATTCAAGTCACAGAGTTGAACATTCCCTTACTTCGACCACGTTTGAAACACTCTTTTGGAAGAATCTGGAAGTGGACATTTGGAGCGCTTTGATGCCTTTGGTGAAAAGGAAACGTCTTCCAATAAAAGCCAGACAGAAGCATTCTCAGAAACTTGTTCGTGATGTGTGTACTCAACTAAAAGAGTTGAACCTTTCTATTGATAGAGCAGTTTTGAAACACTCTTTTTGTGGATTCTGCAAGTGGATATTTGGATTGCTTTGAGGATTTCGTTGGAAGCGGGAATTCGTATAAACACTAGACAGCAGCATTCCCAGAAATTTCTTTCGGATATTTCCATTCAACTCATAGAGATGAACATGGCCTTTCATAGAGCAGGTTTGAAACACTCTTTTTGTAGTTTGTGGAAGTGGACATTTCGATCGCGTTGACGCCTACGCTGAAAAAGGAAATATCTTCCCATAAAAAATAGACAGAAGCATTCTCAGAAACTTGTTGGTGATATGTGTCCTCAACTAACAGAGTTGAACTTTGCCATTGATAGAGAGCAGTTTTGAAACACTCTTTTTGTGGAATCTGCAAGTGGATATTTGGATAGCTTGGAGGATTTCGTTGGAAGCGGTAATTCAAATAAAAGGTAGACAGCAGCATTCTCAGAAATTTCTTTCTGATGTCTGCATTCAACTCATAGAGTTGAAGATTCCCTTTCATAGAGCAGGTTTGAAACACTCTTTCTGGAGTATCTGGATGTGGACATTTGAAGCGCTTTGATGCCTACGGTGAGAAAGTAAATATCTTCCCATAAAAACGAGACAGAAGGATTCTGAGAAGCAAGTTTGTGATGTGTGTACTCAGCTAACAGAGTGGAACCTCTCTTTTGATGCAGCAGTTTGGAAACACTCTTTTTGTAGAAACTGTAAGTGGATATTTGGATAGCTCTAACGATTTCGTTGGAAACGGGAATATCATCATCTAAAATCTAGACAGAAGCCCTCTCAGAAACTACTTTGTGATATCTGCATTCAAGTCACAGAGTTGAACATTCGCTTTCTTAGAGCACGTTTGAAACACTCTTTTTGTAGTGTCTGGAAGTGGACATTTGGAGCGCTTTGATTCCTTTGGTGAAAAAGGGAACGTCTTCCCATAAAAACTAGACAGAAGCTTTCTCAGAAACTTGTTTGTGATGTGTGTACCCAGCGAAAGGATTTGAACATTTCTATTGATAGAGCAGTTTTGAAACACTCTTTTTGTGGAATCTGCAAGTGGATATTTGGATAGCTTGGAGGTTTTCGTTGGAAGCGGGAATTCAAATAAAAGGTAGACAGCAGCATTCTCAGAAATTTCTTTCTGATGTCTGCATTCAACTCATAGTAGTTGAAGATTCCCTTTCATAGAGCAGGTTTGAAACACTCTTTCTGGAGTATCTGGATGTGGACATTTGGAGCGCTTTGATGCCTACGGTGAAAAAGTAAATATCTTCCCATAAAAACGACACAGAAGGATTCTCAGAAACAAGTTTGTGATGTGTGTACTCAGCTAACAGAGTGGAACCTCTCTTTTGATGCAGCAGTTTGGAAACACTCTTTTTGTAGAAACTGTAAGTGGATATTTGGATAGCTCTAATGATTTCGTTGGAAACGGGAATATCATCATCTAAAATCTAGACAGAAGCAGTCTCAGAAACTACTTTGTGATATCTGCATTCCAGTCACAGAGTTGAAAACTCCCTTACTTAGAGCAGGTTTGAAACACACTTTTTGTAGAATCTGGAAGTGGATATTTGGAGTGCTTTGATGCCTTTGGTGAAAAAGGAAATGTCTTCCCTTAAAAAGTAGACAGAAGCTTTCTCAGAAACTTGTATGTGATGTGTGTACTCAACTAAAAGAGTTGAACCTTTCTATTGATAGAGCAGTTTTGAAACACTCTTTTTGTGGAATCTGCAAGTGGATATTTGGATTGCTTTGAGGACTTCGTTGGAAGCGGGAATTCATAAAAAAGTAGACAGCAGCATTCTCAGAAATTTCTTTCTGATGTCTGCATTCAACTCATAGAGTTGAAGATTCCCTTTCATAGAGCAGGTTTGAAACAGTCTTTCTGGTGTATCTGGATGTGGACATTTGGAGCGCTTTGATGCCTACGGTGAAAAAGTAAATATCTTCCCATAAAAACGAGACAGAAGGATTCTGAGAAACAAGTTTGTGATGTGTGTACTCAGCTAACAGAGTGGAACCTTTCTTTTTACAGAGCAGCTTTGAAACTCTATTTTTGTGGATTCTACAAATTGATATTTAGATTGCTTTAACGATATCGTTGGAAAAGGGAATATGGTCATACAAAATCTAGACAGAAGCATTCTCACAAACTTCTTTGTGATGTGTGTCCTCAACTAACAGAGTTGAACCTTTCTTTTGATGCAGCAGTTTGGAAACACTCTTTTTGTAGAAACTGTAAGTGGATATTTGGATAGCTCTAACGATTTCGCTGGAAACGGGAATATCGTCATCTAAAATCTAGACAGAAGCACTATTAGAAACTACTTGGTGATATCTGCATTCAAGTCAAAGAGTTGAACATTCCCTTACTTTGAGCACGTTTGAAACACTCTTTTGGAAGAATCTGGAAGTGGACATTTGGAGCGCTTTGATGCCTTTGGTGAAAAGGAAACGTCTTCCAATAAAAGCCAGACAGAAGCATTCTCAGAAACTTGTTTGTGATGTGTGTACTCAACTAAAAGAGTTGAACCTTTCTATTGATAGAGCAGTTTTGAAACACTCTTTTTGTGGATTCTGCAAGTGGATATTTGGATTGCTTTGAGGATTTCGTTGGAAGCGGGAATTCGTATAACAACTAGACAGCAGCATTCCCAGAAATTTCTTTCGGATATTTCCATTCAACTCATAGAGATGAACATGGCCTTTCATAGAGCAGGTTTGAAACACTCTTTTTGTAGTTTGTGGAAGTGGACATTTCGATCGCCTTGACGCCTACGGTGAAAAAGGAAATATCTTCCCATAAAAAATAGACAGAAGCATTTTCAGAAACTCGTTGGTGATATGTGTCCTCAACTAACAGAGTTGAACTTTGCCATTGATAGAGAGCAGTTTTGAAACACTCTTTTTGTGGAATCTGCAAGTGGATATTTTGATAGCTTGGAGGATTTCGTTGGAAGCGGAAATTCAAATAAAAGGTAGACAGCCAGCATTCTCAGAAATTTCTTTCTGATGTCTGCATTCAACTCATAGAGTTGAACATTCCCTTTCATAGAGCAGGTTTGAAATACTCTTTCTGTGGTATCTGGATGTGGACATTTGGAGCGCTTTGAGGCCTACGGTGAAAAAGTAAATATCTTCCCATAAAAACGAGACAGAGGATTCTGAGAAACAAGTTTGTGATGTGTGTACTCAGCTAACAGAGTGGAACCTCTCTTTTGATGCAGCAGTTTGGAAACACTCTTTTTGTAGAAACTGTAAGTAGATATTTGGATAGCTCTAACGATTTCGTTGGAAACGGGAATATCATCATCTAAAATCTAGACAGAAGCCCTCTCAGAAACTACTTTGTGATATCTGCATTCAACTCACAGAGTTGAACATTCGGTTTCTTAGAGCACGTTTGAAACACTCTTTTTGTAGTGTCTGGAAGTCGACATTTGGAGCGCTTTGATGCCTTTGGTGAAAAAGGGAATGTCTTCCCATAAAAACTAGACAGAAGCATTCTCAGAAACTTGTTTGTGATGTGTGTACCCAGAAAAAAGGAGTTGAACATTTCTATTGATAGAGCAGTTTTGAAACACTCTTTTTGTGGAAAATGCAGGTGGATATTTGGATAGCTTGGAGGATTTCGTTGGAAGCGGGAATTCAAATAAAAGGTAGACAGCAGCATTCTCAGAAATTTCTTTCTGATGTCTGCATTCAACTCATAGAGTTGAAGATTCCCTTTCATAGAGCAGGTTTGAAAAACTCTTTCTGGAGTATCTGGATGTGGACATTTGGAGCGCTTTGATGCCTACGGTGAAAAAGTAAATATCTTCCCATAAAAACGAGACAGAAGGATTCTCAGAAACAAGTTTGTGATGTGTGTACTCAGCTAACTGAGTGGAACCTTTCTTTTTACAGAGCAGCTTTGAAACTCTATTTTTGTGGATTCTGCAAATGGATATTTAGATTGCTTTAACGATATCGTTGGAAAAGGGAATATCGTCATACAAAATCTGGACAGAAGCATTCTCACAAACTTCTTTGTGATGTGTGTCCTCAACTATCAGAGTTGAACCTTTCTTTTGATGCAGCGGTTTGGAAACACTCTTTTTGTAGAA